>NC_000006.12:7332727-7484242 GCF_000001405.40 Homo sapiens
CGAAGAAATCCTTCTCCAATCTTCCCTACTCTCCATACTTTTATATCTTGGATCTGGCCAAGAGATAGGAGTCATGGAAGGGGTTCTCTGAAATCATTTATTTCGGAAACTCTGCACATGGGAAAAACTCACTCTCACTTTGGGAACTGGTAACAGTGTTATTAGCACCTAAGGAACTGGGCTAGAAAGAGTCTCATTTTAACATACTGCTGTGTTCTTTTTTTTTTCTTTTCTTTTCTTGAGATGGAGTTTTTGCCCTGTTGCCCAGGCTGTAGTGCAGTGGCACGATCTCAGCTCACTGCAACCTCTGCCTCCCGGGTTCAAGCGATTCTCCTGCCTCAGCCTCCTGAGTAGCTGGGATTACAGGTGCCCACCACCATGCCTGGCTAATTTTTGTATTTTTAGTAGAGACAGGGTTTCACCATGTTGGCCAGGCTAGTCTTGAACTCTTGACCTCAAGTGATTCACCCGCCTCAGTCTCCCAAAGTGCTAGGATTACAGGCATGAGCCACCGTGCCCTGCCTATACTGCTGTGTTCTTAATCAACCACACAGGGTTTGCGCATACATCTTGTAGCATCAGATGTTGAGCCTCTTCTAAAATAGCAGACTGTGAGGCTTAATGTTACTGTAAGAAAATATGGTGATAAAATACAGAGCAGGGCAAGTAGTTTTGTTGTAGACAAAAATCTTAGCCCATAATCTTTATAGTTTCTTCCTTAGAGTGACTGTACATTCCATGAAAGCAGGGAATCTGGCTTTCCATTTTAGGTTCTACAAAAAACATTAATCAAGCAACTACTTTATGCTAGGCAAAACATGAAGCACTTTCATATAATTATCTTGTTTACCTTAAATTGAGATAAGGAAAAGAGTTTTTTTTTTTAAGTATTATCTAACTATCTATCTAACTATCTATATATATATATATATATATATATATATATACATTTTTTTTTTGAGACAGAGTCCCACTCTGTTGCTCATGCTGGAGTGCAGTGGCACGATCTCGGCTCACTGCAACCTCCGCCTCCCAGGTTCAAGCGATCCTCCTGCCTCAGCCCCCCAGTAGCTGGGATTACAGGCACGTGCCACCATGCCCGGCTAATTTTCGTATTTTTAGTAGAGATGGGGTTTTGCCATGTTGGCCAGGCTGGTCTCGAACTCCTGACCTCAGGTGATCCACCCACCTTGGCCTCCCAAAGTGCTGGGATTACAGGCGTGAGCCACCGCACTTGGCCATATTACCTATATTTTAAAGACATTATTAATTTTAAAAATAAAGGGAAACTTACCTTGGTTTTCTGGCTTTTTCTCTGGGCTTTCTAATTAAATCCTCTAAATGTTTATTTCTCTCTTCCAAACTGAAAGAAGAAACAATTGAATTTTATGACTAAAATGGACTTTTCTAGACCAATATTTTGTTAGATTCACTGGAGGATTTTAGTAGGTAAAAATAGGTAATCTAATTATCTATATGCTATCCAACCACCTAACCATATAGAAACTTGGGATTCTTTCCTAGCAACTCAAAATTATTCTATCAGTTTTTCCCTTTATAGGTTCCAGTGGTGAAGAAGGAAAGTAGACAGTAGCAAATATGTAAAGCAGCATTCAGATATTCTCCCATTTGCTTACACAGTGGTTTACTCATACTGATCCCTCTATATGAGTAAATCCAATATGATCCTGGGGGTAACATGTTAAAAACAAAACTCCTGGCTAGACATGGTGGCTCACACCTGTAATCCCAGCACTTTGGGAGGCTGAGGCAGGCGAGTCTCTTGAGCCCAGGAGTTCGTGACTAGCCTGGGCAACATGGTGAAATTCTGTCTCTACAAAAATACAAAAATTAGCCGGGCATGGTGGCACATGCCTGTGATCCCAGCTACTTGGGAGGCTGAGCTGGGAGGATTGCTTGAGCCGAGGAGGTGGAGGTTGCAGTGAGCCAAGACCGTGCCACTGCACTTCAGCCTGGGACAGAGCTAGACTCTCTCTCAAAAAAAAAAAAAAAAAGGAAAGAAAGAAAATAAAAGAAAAAAACCAAAAAACCCTGAGCTAGAAACAGCTTAACATGGGAAAATATGTGATAGCATTACAAGACTGTCACAAACCCATTTTTCCATCCAGAGAGGTTGTATGAGCTTCCTGTGGCTGCTGCAACAAATCAACACAAATTCTGTGGCTTAAAACACCATTTATTTTCTTCTGGAGGTCAGAAGTCCAAAAGAAGCTTCACCGGCCTGAAATCAAGGTGTTGGCAGGGATGTCCACCCTCTAGAAGCTCGAGAGGAGAATCCTTCACCTGGCCTCATCCAGCACCTGGAGGCCGTCCTCATTCCTGAGGGGGCTTGGCCCCACATCACACCACCTTTTCTCCCCGTTTCCACTGTCATGTTGACTCTTTATCTTCTGTCATCAAATCTCTCTCTGCCTCCCCCCTCTTATAAGGACCCCTGTGATTGCATTTAGGGCCCACTCAGATAATCCAAAATAATCTCCGCAACTCAAGATGTAATCACATCTGCAAGGCTCTTTTGCTATATAAGGTAATGGTCACAGGTTCTAGTGATTAGAACTTGGATATCTTTGGGCCATTCCTCGGCCTACTATAAAGGATAAATAGACCTGAGAGGATATGAAATTCTACTGCAGAGGTCTAAACTCAAACGCCTGTAGAAGGGTCAGGCAGGTATGTGAAATGAGCGAAGCCAGCTAAATGGTGATTCAGACAAACCAAAGAGCATACACTCCTAGGCCCTGCCTAAAAGAAGTTGCTACTTAGCTCTTGCCAAATGTTGCCATGTGAGAATGCTGCAGCCGTGAGATCAGATCTTCTTGTTTTATTTATTTTTAAAGTTTTACTATTCAGAGACAGAGTCTCACCCTGTCATTCAGGCTGGAATATAGTGGTGCAATCACAGCTCACTGCAGCCTCAAACTCCCGGGCTGAAGCAATCCTCTCAGCCTCCTGAGTAGCTAGGACTGCAGGTGCATGCCACCACACCTGACTAATTGTTTTACTATTTTGTGGAGACAAGAGTCTTGCTATGTTGCCCAAGCTGGTCTTGAACTCCTGGCCTCAAGCTATCTTCCCGCCTCAGCCTCCCAAAGTGCTGGGATTGTAGGCATGAGCCACCATGCTCAGCCTACTTTTGTTTTTAAAGAGGAGATATAAATCTAGATTTTTACAGAATTATCTTCCCTTTTCAATTCTGGCAATTAATTTAAAAAAAATGTGTTAAATATTATATGGACAAAACACATATACCCTAGAATATAACTTGTAGATTGTCATTTTGAAAGTTATACTCTTTCTTTCAGAGATATCAGGCTTTTGTTTTAAAGGGATAAAGAGAAGTTGTCAAACCCAGGAACAGAAGATAATGTGAAACAGACTCTGTGTATACCAAAAGCCTGAGTCTATCATGCTTTGTCATCAGAGAAATAACATGGAATAAATCTTCTGTATTTCTAGAATTGAAAAGAATGAGCCCAACTCCTGAAGGAGGGAGATACCCAAGGAAAGAAAGTGAAAAGTTTTTCCAAGTGTGCAACATAGCAGCAGTGGAATATATTGACACTGCACTCCCATGTGTAGAGCTGCACGCAAGAAGCTATAATCTAAGCCTACCTAAATGGAGTCCTTGGTTTATTTTGGAGGAAGTCATGTCCTCCGTAGAGGCCATGGGAGAACTCTGCTGAGAGCTAGGCAAGCAAAGCAGCACCACTGAATGGAGTATAATGAGTGCTTTGATTTGCATTTAATGACATGAGTGTATTTCTTTCTTTTTTTCTTTTAAGACAGAGTCTTGATCTGTCGCCAAGACTGGAATGCAGTGGCACAATCTCAGCTCACTGCAACCTCCGCCTCCCTGGTTCAAGTGATTCTCATGCCTCAGCTTCCCGAATAGCTGGGATTACAGGTGTGCGCCACCATGCTTGGCTAATTTTTGTATTTTTAGTAGACATGGGATTTTGCTGTATTAACCAGTCTGGTCTCAAACTCCTGGACTCAAGTGATCCTGTCACCTTTGCCTCCCAAAGTGCTGGGATTACAGGCATCAGCCACCGCACGCAGCTGACATGAATATATTTCATGTGCTTATTTGCCATCCATATACTTTCTTGGTAGAATCTCTACTAAAATCTTCGCCCATTTTTATTGGGTTATTTGTTTTCTTATGACTGAATTTTGAGAGTTCATTACATCTGGATAGAAGTTCTTTATTGGATACACGATTTACAAATATGTTCTTCCAGACTATGGCTTGTCTTTTGATCTGTTAACAGTGTCTTCAGAGAGCAGTTTTAGGCTGGGCAAGGTGGCTCACACCTGTAATCCCAGCACTTTGGGAGGCCGAGGTGGGTGGATCATGAGGTCAGGAGTTCAAGACCAGCCTGGCCAACATGGTGAAACCCCGTCTCTACTAAAAATACAACCAAAAAAATTAGCCCAGTGTGGTGGCGTGCACCTGTAGTCCCAGCTACTTGAGAGGCTGAGGCAGGAGAATCACTTGAACCTGGGAGGCGGAGGTTGCAGTGAGCCAAGATTGCACCACTGCCCTCCAGCCTGGGTGACAGAGTGAGACTGTCTCGAAAAAAAAAAAAAAAAAAAAAGAAGAGCAGTTTTAAATTTTGATGAAGTCGAATTTATTAAAATTTTCTCTAATGAATCATGCTTTTAGTGACATGTCTAAGAAATTGTTGCCTAACCCAAAGTCATAGAAATTTTCTCATATGTGTTCTTCTAGATATTTTATGGTTTTAGCCTTTATCTTTGGGTATATTATCCATTTTGAGTTTACTTCGTATGTGGTGGAGTGTATAAATCAAAGTTAATTTTTTTGAAAATGGGCAATGATTTCAGCACCATTTGTTGAGAAGGCTATCCTTTTTCCACTTTGTTGCCTTTGTACCTTTGTCAAAAATCACTTGTCCATATATGCATGGGTCCAGGTCTGCATTCCCTGGTCTGTTCCATTGATTTTTATATTTTTACACCAATGCTACACTGTTTTGATTATTGTAGCTCTATAAAAAGTCTTAGAATCAGAGTTTCCCTCCCATTTTATCCTTCTTTATCAGAGTTCTTTCAGCTATTCTATGCCTTTTGAATTTCCATATGAGTTTAGAATCAGCTTGTTAAGTTTATTTAAAATTGGAATTGCACTGAATCAATAAATGAACTTGGGGAAAATCTTAACAAAATTGACCCATGAAAGAGATATACCTCTCCATTTATTTAACTCTTCTTTACTTTTTCTCAATGATGTTTTGTAATTTTTAGTATATGAGTCTTTTACATACTTTCGCCAAATTTATCCTTATGTAGTTTATATTTTTGGTGCTATCAGAAATGTTTCTTAATTTCTGATTATCTGTTGCTAGTATATAAAAATACTACTTTTACATATTTGTACTGGATCCTGCAACTTTTTTTGTAGATTCCATCAGATTCTCTACATAGATGATCACGTGTCTGTGAACACATGCATTTTTGCTTCATGTCCAATTTGGATGAGTGTTATTTTTCTTGCCTGATTGTACTGGACAGAACTTCCAGTACAATGTGAATGTACTGGAATGTCTTGTTCCTGATGATGAGAAAGCATTTAGTCTATCATCATTAAGTATAATGTTAGTAGGCTTTTTGTAGGTGCTCTTTGTCCTTATTGAGACAGTTCCTTTCTTTTCCTAGGTTGTTTAGGTTTTCTCATGAAGAATGATGTTGGATTTTGTCAAACGGTTTTTCTGTCTATCGAAATTATCATATGCTTTCTCTTTTTTAGTTTTTTAAATATGCTAACTAACATTGATGGATACAATTGTTATTACACATAAAGCTGGCCCTTTTTTGCTATATAAGGTAACATTCACAGATTCTAGGGATTAGAACATGGATTTGCCATTTACTTTTACCTGCCATTTTTAGCAGTATACACTGTACCCAATTTGTAATCTTTTATCCCTCACCCCCTTCCACTCTTTCCCCCAAGTCCCCAAAGTCCACTGTATCATTCTTTTTTTTTTCTGTCTTTGTACAATATTTTATAAAGGTCTTTACAGAGCAACATCCAGACTCCAGAATACAGCTGCCAAGGAGATCCTGTTATGCTGTGGTGACTGAGGGCACGGCAGGAGGCTCTGGCTTCCCACCCTTCTGTTCTGAGATGGGGGTGGTGGGCAGTTATCTCATCTTTGGGTTCCACGATGCTCACGTGGTCAGGCAGGGGCTTCTTAGGGCCAATCTTACCAGTTGGGTCCCAGGGCAGCATGATCTTCACCTTGATGCCCAGCACACTCTGTCTGAGCAACACATGGCGCACAGCAGTGTCAACGTAGTAGTTAACAGGGTCTCTGCTGTGGATCATCAGGCCGTCCACAAACTTCATGGATTTAGCTCTCTGTCCTCAGAGTTTCCCAGACACCACGACCTCACAGCCTTTGGCCCCAGTTTCCATGATGAACCGCGACACACCATAGCAGGCCCTCCGCACAGCAAGCCCTCCTAGGAGTTTGTAAGGCAGAGACTCTGCCTGGGCAATGGCACACAGACCCCTAGTGGCCACCTCTTCAGCATAAAGCTCTACACTGCCCTCTGGAGAGCCAAACCTCTTCTGAACTACAGCAGTCAGTTCCCGAATCCGCCGGCCCTTCTCACCAAGAACATTCTGTGTTCTGGTGGCTAAGACAATGATTTCTGTCCTGGTTGGTGTAACTCGCATCTCAACTCCAGAGTAGCCATCTTCAGCCAGCTCCTGAGTAAGAAACTCATTCATTTCAGCTTAGAAGATGCCATCAGTGACAAACTTCCTCTTCTTGGAAATTTGTAAGGCGATCTTGCCGCCATGCTCCGCTGAAAGGAAAGGCACTGTATCATTCTTATGCCTTTGTGTCCTCATAGCTTAGCTCCCACTTATGAGTGAGAACATATGATGTTTGGTTTTCCATTCCTGAGCTACTTCACTTAGAATAATGGTCTCCAATTCCATCTAAGTTGCTGTGAATGCCATTATTTCATTCCTTTTTATGGCTGAATAGCATTCCGTGGTGTATATATATACCACAATTTCTTTATCCATTCATTGATTGATGGGCATTTGGGCTGGTTCCATATTTTGGTAATTTCAAATTGTGCTGCTATAAACATGCATGTGCAAGTATCTTTTTTGAATAATGACTTCTTGTCCTCTGGGTAGATACCCAGTAGTGGGATTTCTGGATCAAATGGTAGTTCTACTTTTAGTTCTTTAAAGACTTTCCACACTGTTTTCCACAGTGGTTATACTAGTTTACTTTTCCACCAGCAGTGTAGAAGTGTTCCCTTTTTACCGCATCCTTGACAACATCTGTTATTTTTTGATTTTTTGATTATGGTCATTCTTGCAGGAGTAAGGTAGTATCACATTGTGGCTTTGATTTGCATTTCCCTGATCATTAGTGATGCTGAGCATTTTTTCATACGTTTGTTGGCCATTTCCATATCTTCTTTTAAGAATTGTGTATTCATGTCCTTAGCCCACTTTTTGATGGGATTGTTTTTTTCTTGTTAATTTGTTTGAGTTCCTTGTAGATTCTGTATATTAGCCCTTTGTCAGATGTACGGAGTGTGAAGATTTTCTCCCACTCTGTGGGTTGTCTGTTTACTTTGCTGATTATTGCTTTTGCTGCGCAGAAACTTTTAATTAAGTTCCACCTATTTATCAGTTTTTTAAGAGAACATAGAATTTATTAGATATTGAATATAAAAATAAACCATCTAAATAGGGGCCCAGGGAGCTTCCTTTATTTCTGTAGGTGCCTCCAGGCCTTCCCACCCCAACCCCAATAAAAACATTTTGCATATATAATATCTAGCAAACACTAAAAAGATGCAAAGCTTCCAAAGACAGCAGGCACTCAGCTTAAGGAGGGTGATGACTGGGTCAGATGAGATCTTCCTGGAGGAGCCCACAATTTTCTTAGTTGCAGCACTGACAAAAATACACCCCAGGCTTCTGGACCAGGGGCTGACATTAGGGGGTCCCTGAGCAAGTGATGGGCTAGAGCTACTCGTTGGGAGGCAGACAGTCTACTCCCTCAATGCATCTTCCAACTGCTTCACTAGCAAAGCCTGCTTCTGTTCCTGCAGCACACCACAGAACTGATGTATGGCCAATTTTAGCCGGGGGGAGCTCGTCTGCAAAGATGAGGTGGAACCGGCCTGGCTCCTTATACATACAGGCTTTGCCACAGGATAACAACAGCTTGTTGTCCAGGAAGCGGAGAGAGGAGCTGTTGCTCTTCAAATGTACAGGGATCCAGGTACTTTTTCAAGTTGATCCAGATATAGAGGCCAGAGCTGCAGCTGTGAAAGGGGATCTCCAATGCCTTTAGCTTGGCAGTGATGTACTTGTGAGCTTCCCACAGCCGGTAGTTATTGGTGGGCAGGTACACTTTGTCAATCCATTCTGTGTTCTGGAGCAGTTGACACAGCTTGTGCTAGGTGATGCCAGAGATACTGTGGAGGTAGCCAAAGGTGCTCACAGCAGAAGCCATCTCCTTGTGGTGGGTGTAAACAGAGTACCAAAGAGGAAGCCAGAGATGCCAAAATCCTTACTGGTGTCCCAGATCACATGGGTCCTGTTGTGATCAGGCAGACTTTTCATGCTTAGGACACTGTGGAATGTGATGGATTCATCAAAAACACAGATAGCATGTAAATCTCATCTATGATCACATGTAGGTTATACCTCTTGGCAAATTCCAGGTATTCCATCGCGAGTCTGAGGAGTAGATGTCACCCAGAAGATTCTGAGGGTTGATTAGCACAAGGCCTCGGACCTTTTTCCTCTCAGGCCTAGCTTTAAGCAGGGCTTCCTCTAACTTGTCCACAGCAAGGTGGAACAGATGGGTGTTTGCAACAGTGATCTCACTCTCCAGGTGGACAGGAATCAACTCAACCTTCACGTACAGGCAGGAGCTAAAGTCAAAGCCACTATAGAAGGGAGCAGGCGCCAGGAAGGCCTCGCTTGGATCACACAGAACCATGGCCAGTGCAGAGAAGACAGAGCAGCAGCCATTTAGAACAACCACATTTTCTGGATCAAGTCGGGCAGGTGCCTTGCACTAGTAGGTCAGGAACTGGGCCACTTCTTCTTGCAGGAACGGGTGCCCTCTCCAATCAGGGTACTGCAGCAAGATGTCCTCAATGCCGTTCGTGTCACTTTCTTGCAATCTTTCAGTCATCAGATCTATGCAGAGCTTGTTCTCACTGGTGCCAAGGTTAACGAAGCTCAAGGTGTTCTTGTCCTTATGATATTTGTCTTTTTGGTAGGCATTGTAGTCCTGGAAGCTCGACTAATAGAAGACAGAGATGTCAATCCCACAGTTGGATAGGTCACGGCTGATGAAGGCAGCTTCACAATCACTCAGTTGGGGAACTGGATCAGGCTGCCTGGACAGTTGGGCCCCCTGCCCATATCTGACATCACCCCTAGAGTCCTGGGAAGGAAGAGGCACTTGGAGCTCCAGGCCACTTATGGCCCCAGACTATAGGAGCTGGATCATCTGGCACATTAAGCGACCCAGAAGGGCTTCATGCTCACGGATGGCCTGAGTGTGCCTCCATTCTTCCAGCGGCAGGGCCCTGCCTGCTCATCAGCTGCATGAAGTACTCCCTCATGGTCTACCGCAAGTGCAGCATCATCTCAACAGCTGGGTATAGATGCTCTGGTCTCTGAGGACCTGGCCTCTCATCTGGCCAGATGGCACAGGAAGGGTGTCTGACTGATGACTCATACTCCGGGTATCTGTAGTGGCTCCTGCAGGCTGGCTGTCACCTCTGTCTCTGTTTTCACTTATCTTCTCTCCAGTCTAAAGCCTCACTGAACAAACTGTCCTTGACTGTCAGTGCTCAGGGAACTGCTCTGCCACCCTTCTCCTCAATGAATGTGTTAATCATTGTTTTTGTTGCATTTGCTTTTGGGTTCTTGGTCATGAAGTCTTTGCTTAAGCCAATGTCGAGAAGGGTTTTTCTGATGTTATCTTCTAGGATTTTTATGGTTTCAGGTCTTAGATTTAAGTCCTTGATCCATCTTGAGTTGATTTTTGTATATAAGTTGAGAGATGAGGATCCAGTTTCATTCTTCTACATGTGGCTTGCCAATTATCCCAGCACCATTTGTTGAATAGGGTGTGCTTTCCCCACTTTATGTTTTTGTTTGCTTTGTTGAAGATCAGTTGGCTGTATTTATGCCAACCCTTTTTTCATTAAAAAAGAAGCCTGGCCAACATAGTGAAACCCTGTCTCTACTAAAAATACAAAAAAATTAGCCAGGTGTGGTGGTGGGTGCCTGTAATCCCAGCTACTTGGGAGGCTGAGGCAGGAGAATCGCTTGAACCCGGGAGGTGGAGGTTGCAGTGGGCTGAGATGGCACCACTGCACTCCAGCCCAGGCGACAGTGCGAGACTCTGTCCCACAAAAAAAAAAAAGAAAAGAAAAGAAAAGAAAAAGAAGTCAAAGAAATACAATGGGATTGTGACTATAAATAAGGGCAGTACTAATGTTGTTTTTACTATATACTGAAATGCAGCTTTCTGTGGGGTTTACAAGTTTTAGGGGTAAACAAATGTTCACCTTATTCTCTATGATCAAGGTATAAAATCACATGGATTTTTAAAAGAATGTTCAATCCAATCAAACTTTTTGATCATTCTGTACTCAAAGTATCATGAAACTTAGAAAGAAAGGTTGTGGATTTACACTGAAATTTTCTGTTATTTTTGATATGGTTTTGCATGGAAAAACATTTACAGGGGCTTCATGTGGGTAGAAATAACAGTTGCTGTGACAGGGCAGTGAGTTGTCATTTATGAATTCAGTGTTGTCTGTAGGAGATATGGCATGGAAGTATTCTTCCAGGACTCTGTTGGCATTCTGTGGATGGTGAATAGTAAATAAGTTAATGCAGATTTTGATGAGTGACTTCAAAAACTACAGATTATGATCAGGGATCATATAATGGGTAGGAATGGAATAGAAGGTCACCTTGAATAACAAGGTAGCAGGGCTTGAGAAAATGGGAAGCCAGGACAGGAAATGAACTGGAACATTTTTATAAGAGGATCGACCTCTCACCAGGATGATGTAATGATTGTGATGGGGACAAAGATAGAACAAGTCTCATTTTGTAGGCAGGTGCTCCTTCCTACAAAGGAAGAAATGGGATAGATTCATCAAAAACACAGACAGCACGTAATGTTGTTTGGAGCAGGAACTTCTACATCTGAAACAGACAGATCTGGACTTAAGTGTTAGAAAGTGGTGAGAGGTGACAGCGTGCTGGCAATCCTCACAGCCCTCGCTCGCTCTCGGCACCTCCTCTGCCTGGGCTCCCACTTTGGTGGCACTTGAGGAGCCCTTCAGCCCACCGCTGCACTGTGAGAGCCCCTTTCTGGGCTGGCCACGGCCAGAGCTGGCTCCCTCAGCTTGCAGGGAGGTGTAGAGGGAGAGGCGCCAGCGGGAACCGGGGCTGGGCGTGGCGCTTGCGGGCCAGCTGGAGTTCCGGGTAGGCGTGGGCTTGGCGGGTCCCGCACTCGGAGCAGCCAGCCGGCCCTGCCAGCCCGGGCAATGAGGGGTTTAGCACCCGGGCCAGCGGCTGCAGAGGGTGTACTGGGTCCCCCAGCAGTGCCAGCCCACCGGCGCTGTGCTCGATTTCTCACCGTGCCTTAGCTGCCTTCCCGCAGGGCAGGATTCGGGACCTACAGCCCGCCATGCCTGAGCCTCGCAACCCCTCCATGAGCTCCTGTGCGGCCCAGCCTCCTGGATGAGCGCCGCCCCCTGCTCTACAGCGCCCAGTCCCATCCACCACCCAAGGGCTGAGGAGTGCGGGCGTACGGCCCGAGACTGGAAAGCAGCTCCACCTGCAGCCCCGGTGCCGGATCCACTGGGTGAAGCCAGCTGAGCTTCTGAGTCTGGTGGGAAGGTGGAGAACCTTTATGTCTAGCTCAGGGATTGTAAATACACCAATCAGCACTCTGTATCTAGCTCAAGGTTTGTAAACACACCAATCAGCACCCTGTGTGTAGCTCAGGGTTTGTGAATGCACCAATCAACACTCTGTATCTAGCTATTCTGGTGGGGCCTTGGAGAACCTTTGTGTCGACACTCTGTATCTAGCTAATCTGGTGGGGACGTGCAGAACCTTTGCGCCTAGCTCAGGGATTGTAAACGCACCAATCAGCGCCCTGTCAAAACAGGCCACTCGGCTCTACCAATCAGCAGGATGTGGGTGGGGCCAGATAAGAGAATAAAACCAGGGTGCCCAAGCCAGCAGCGGCAGATGGCTGGTGTTGAAAGCTTTGTTCTTTCACCCTGCAGTAAATCTTAACTCTTGTTGCTGTTTGCTCTTTAGATCCATATTGCTTTTAGGAGCTAGGTCCATATTGCTTTTAGGAGCTATGACACTCCTTGTGAAGGTTTGTAGTTTCACTCTTTGAAGTTAGTATAAGCTACCAGCCTACCAAGAAGAAGGAACAACTCCAGACACGCTACCTTAAGAGTTGCAGCACTGACTGTTAAAGGTTTGCAGTTTTATTTCTGAACCAGCGAGACCACTAAACCCAGCAGGATGAAAGAAACTCTGAACACATCAGAACATCAGAAGGAACAAACGCCAGATGTGCCATCTTAAGAGCTGTAACCCTCACTGCAGGGGTCTGTGGTTTCATTCTTGAAGTGAGACCAAGTAGCCCAAGTCCAGACACAAAATGGCATACTCACATTATATTTCAGCAAGATCACTCTGGCTGCATATACAGAGTAAGCTATCACCAAGTAGTTTTCTTTCAGCCTTTTAGAAAAACAATGTCACTAATAGCTTTCATAGTAAACAGCTGTTTCTAACGTCTAAGGCCTGTGAACGGAAAAATTACAGGCCCGGCGCAGTGGCTCATGCTTGTAATCCCAGCACTTTGGGAGGCTGAGGCGGGCAGATCATGAGGTCAGGAAATTGAGACCATCCTGGCTGACTAAAACCCCGTCTCTACTAAAAATACAAAAAAAATTAGCTGGGCGTCGTGGCAGGCCCCCATAGTCCCAGCTACTTGGGAGGCTGAGGCAGGAGAATGGTGTGAACCCGGGAGGAGAAGCTTGCAGTGAGCCGATACTGTACCACTGCACTCCAGCCTGGGTGACAGAACGAGAGTCCATCTCAAAAAAAGAAAAATTACAGTATAGCCTATGAATGCATTTGAAGAACAATACCTCAAACTCTATTAAATTTTAGCAGAATCAATAGACTAGCACCAATTTAAAAGAATATTGTTCTGATGATGTGTGTATTTGATAATTTTTTTTAAATTTTAGGTGAACCTATAAAGTGAGAGCAAGTTTATCAAGAAATAAAGGAATAAAAGAATGGCTACTCCGTAGGCAAAACAGCCTGATAATTTTTGAAGCAGTGTATACCTTTTAATGAGAGTAAAGCTAATTCACTATAATTAAAAATACTGTTCTTCATGGATATAACAGACTAGATTTGATTTTTTAAAAAGTAAATCAGGGCGGGTGCAGTGACTCACGCCTGTAATCCCAGCACTTTGGGATGCCAAGGTGGTAGGACTGATTGAGTCCAGGAGTTCAAGACCAGCCTGGGCAACACAGCAAGACCCTGTTTCTAAAATAAATAAAAGTCACGCATGGTGGTGCATGCCTGTAGTCCCAGCTACTTGGGAGGCTGAGGTGGGAGGATCATTTGAGCTCAGGAGATGGAGATTGCAGTGAGCCAAGACTGCGCCACTGCACTCCGGCCTGGGCGACAGAGCCAGACCCTGTCTCAAAAAACAAAAAAGTTAGCTGGGCACGGTGGTTCACACCTGTAATCCCAGCACTTTGGGAGGCTGAGGTGAATGGATCACTTGAGGCCAAAAGTTAGAGACCAGCCTGGCCAACACGGCAAAACCCTGTCTCTACTGAAAAAAGAAAAAAAAATAGCCAGGTGTGGTAGTGCACACCTGTGGTCCCAGCTGCTCAGGAGGCTGAGGCAGAAGAATTGCTTGAGCCTGGGAGGCAGACACTGTGCTACTGACTCCAGCTGAGATTGTGCCACTGCACTCCAGCCTGGGCAACAGAGCAAGACTCTATCTCAAAAAAAAAAAAAGAAGAAAGAAAGAAGATTCTAATAAGCAGCCACAGTTGACAATGCTTATGATAAAGCCTAAATTCAGATTCTGACCTATGGTCTCTTCTTCAACACAAATTGGATCAACCACTCAACTGAAATATACATTAGGAAAAAATTTTTTTTCACCCAAGCCCTGCAGAATATTTACATTTTTTAATTTAAAAATAACTGGGGCAATCCTCATGGTGGACGGGAGGCAGGACTAGATTGCAGTTCTGACTAGGATGGACAGAGCAGTGTGTGGAGGCTCGCGTCATGAATTTTAGCTCCAGAATGACTGCAAGAACAAATCAGGAATCCTGACAGGACCCACAGGCCCTCTGAAGGAAGCGGACTGCTCCTGCAGGAGCTGGGAGACACCCCAAATACTGTGAGGGCCCAAACTGCAGAAGTGGGAAAGGGAGACCCTCTGCTCCCAAACACAAACCCCAACTGAAGAAAATGAAGGTCTAGTTTGCGAGAAGTTTCCGACCTTACCTGGAGCTGAGTCAATTTAGAGAGCCAAGCGAAATACAGGGGTAGAGGAAGCAGCGGGAAAGGCCCTGGGAGCTCGCTGGGTCCCCAAGCAGGCCCTTCCTGCCTGGCCCCACAGGGATCCAAAGCGAGGGTGGGGGGGGGGGTTGGGGGGGGCGGTGGGGGAACTTTGTAACAATTTGAATTGAGCAAGAAGCCTCCTGGCCAGAACGTGGGGGAGGGTGGGAAATCTATCTGGTTTGCAGACTCCACAGGAGGGAAAATAACCAAAGCCCTGTTCTTTCACAGCTGGGAGGCAGGTAGCCTGGGGCAAGTTCTCAAGCCCTGCTCACCCACTGCCTGGAAACAGACTGTAAAAGGGGGCATGGTGAGAGTGAGACAGGCCCTTTGGATTGTGTGGGAGTTGGGTGAGGCCTGTGACTGCAGGCTTTCCCCCACTTCCCGAACAACCTGCATGACTCAGCAGAGGCAGCCATAATCCTCCTAGGTACACAACTCCAGTGACCTAGGAATCTCAACCCCATCCCCCACAGCAGCTGCAGCAAGACCTGCCCAAGGAGAGTCTGAGCTCAGACACACCAAGCCCTGCCCCTACCTGATGGGCCTTCCCTATCCACCCCTGGTAGCTGAAGACAAAGGGCATATATTCTTGGGAGTTCTAGGGCCCTGCTCACCACCGGTTCCTTTTCTCTCCATACTACACAGCTGATGCTCTCTGGAAAGTGCCACCTCCTCACAGGAGGCCAACCAGTACAAAAATAAAACATTAAACCACCCAAGTTAAGAACGCTCACAGAGTCCATTTCACCCCCCTGCCACGTCCACGGGAACAGGTGCTGATAGCCACAGCTGATATCCATAGACAGTTCACATCACAGGACTCTGTGCAGACAACCCCCAGTACCAGCCTGGTGCCAGGTAGACTTGCTGGGTGGCTAGACCCCAAAGAAAGGTAACAATCACTGCAGCTCGGCCCATAGGAAGCCACATCCCCAGGAAAAGAGGAAGAGCACCCCATCAAGGGAACACCCCATGGGACAAAAGAATCTAAACAACAGCCTTGGACCTTCCCTCTGACAAAGCCTACCCAAATGAAAAGGAACCAGAAAACCAACTCTGGTAATATGACAAAACAAGGCTCTTTAACATCCCCCAAAATCACACTAGCTCACCAGCTATGGATCCAAACCAAGAGGAAATCCCTGATTTACCTGAAAAAGAATTCAGGAGGTTAGTTATTAAGCTAATCAGGGAGGCACCAGAGAAAGGTGAAGTCCAATTCAAGGAAATCCAAAAAATGATAAAAGAAGTGAAGGGAGAAATATTCAAGGAAATAGATAGCATAAAGAAAAAAAAACTTCAGGAAACATTGGACACACTTATAGAAATGCAAAATGCTCTGGAAAGTCTCAGCAATAGAATTGAACAAGTAGAAGAAAGAAATTCAGAGCTAGAAGACAAGGTCTTTGAATTAACCCAATCCAACAAAGACAAAGAAAAAAGAAAAAGAAAATATGAACAAAGCCTCCAAGAAGTCTGGGATATGTTAAACGACCAAACCTGAGAATAATCGGTGTTCCTGAGGAAGAAGAGAAATCTAAAAGTATGGAAAACATATTTGGGGAATAATCGAGGAAAACTTCCCTGGCCTTGCAAGAGACCGCAACATCCAAATACAAGAAGCACAAAAAACACCTGGGAAATTCATCGCAAAAAGATCATCGCCTAGGTACATTGTCATCAGGTTATCTAAAGTTAAGATGAAAGAAAGAATCTTAAGAGCTGTGAGACAGAAGCACCAGGTAACCTATAAAGGAAACTTATCAGATTAATAGCAGATTTCTCAGCAGAAACCCTACAAGCTAGAAGGGTTTGGGGCCCTATCTTCAGCCTCCTCAACCAAAACAATTATCAGCTAGGAATTTTGTATGTAGCCAAACTAAGCATTATATATGAAGGAAAGATACAGTCTGTTTCAGACAAACAAATGCTGAGAGAATTCCCCACTACCAAGCCACCACTACAAGAACTGCTAAAAGGAGCTCTAAATCTTGAAACAAATCCTGGAAACACATCAAAACAGAACTCCTCTAAAGCATAAATCACACAGGACCTATAAAACAAAAATACAATTTAAAAAACAAAAAAAAACCAAGGTACACAGGCAACAAATAGCATGATGAAAGCAATGGTACCTCACATCTTAATACTAACATTGAATATAAATGGCCTAAATGCCCCACTTAAAAGATACAGAACTGCAGAATGGATAAGAACTCACTGGCCAGGTGCAGTGGCTCATGCCTGTAATCCCAGCACTTTTGGAGGCCAAGGCGGGTGGACCACCTAAGGTCAGGAGTTTGAGACCAGCCTGGCCAACATGGTGAAACCCCATCTTTACTACAAATACAAAATTAGCCAGGTGTGGTGGTGCACACCTGTAATCCCAGCTACTCAGGAGGCTGAGGCAGGAGAATCGCTTGAGCCCAGGGGCCAAGGTTGCCGTGAGCCAAGATCTCACTGTTGCACTCCAGCCTGGGCGACAAGAGTGAAACACTTGTCTCAAAAAAAAAAAAAAAGAAAGAAAGAAAGAAAGAAGAAAAAAAAAGAACTCATCAACCAACTATCTGCTGCCTTCAGGAGACTTACCTAACACATAAGGACTCACATAAACTTAAAGTAAAGGGGTGGAAAAAGGCATTTCATGCAAATGGACACCAAAAGCGAGCAGGGGTAGCTATTCTTATATCAGACAAAACAAACTTTAAAGCAACAGCAGTTAAAAGAGACAAAGAGAGACATTATATGGTAAAAAGCCTCGTCCAACAGGAAAATATCACAATCCTAAACATATATGCACCTAACACTGGAGCTCCCAAATTTATAAAACAATTACTAATAGACCTAAGAAATGAGATAGATGGTAACACAATAATACTGGGGGCTGGCTTCAATACTCCACTGACAGCACTAGACAGGTCATCAGGACAGAAAGTCAACAAAGAAACAATGGAGTTAAACGATACCTTGGAACAAATGGACTTAACAGATATATACAGAACATTTCATCCAAGAACTGCAGAATACACATTCTATTCAACAACACATGGAATTTTCTCCAAAATAGACCATATCATAGGCCATAAAACGAGCCTCAATAAATTTAAGAAAACTGAAATTATATCAAGCACTCTCTCAGACCACAGTGGAATAAAACCGGAAATCAACTCCAAAAGGAACCTTCAAAACCATGCAAATACATGGAAATTAAATAACCTGCTCCTGAATGAGCATTGGGTCAAAAATGAAATCAAGAAGGAAATTTAAAAATCCTTTGAACTCAACTACAATAATGACAGAACCTATCAAAACCTCTGGAGTACAGCAAAGGTGGCAATAAGAGGAAAGTTTATAGCCCTAAACAATTACATCAAAAAGACGGAAAGAGCACCAACTGACAGTCTAAGGTTACACCTCAAGGAAGTAGAGAAACAAGAACAAACCAAACTCAAACCCAGCAGAAGAAAGGAAATAACCAATATCAGAGCAGAACTAAATTAAATTGAAACAAAAAATACAATACAAAGATAAATGAAACAAAAAGCTGGTTCTTTGAAAAGATAAATAAAATTGATAGATCATTTATTAGATAAATAAAATTGATAGATCATTGATAAATATAATTGAAGACTAACCAAGAAAAGGAGAGAAAATCTAAATAACCTCATTAAGAAATGAAATAGCAGATATTACAACTGACACCACTGAAATACAGAAGATCATTCAATGCTGCTATGAACATCTTTACACACATAAACTAGAAAACCTACAAGAGATGGATAAATTCCTGGAAAAATACAACCTTCCTAGCTTAAATCAGGAAGAATTAGATACCCTGAACAGACCAATAACAAGTAGCGAGATTGAAATGGTAATTAAACAATTACCAACAAAAAAAGTCCAGGACCAGATGGATTCACAGCAGAATTCTACCAGACATTCAAAGAAGAATTGGTAGCAATCCTTTTGGCACTATTCCACAAGGTAGAGAAAGAGAAAACCCTCCATAATTCATTCTATGAAGCCAGCATCACCCTAATACCAAAACCAGGAAAGAACACAAATCAAAAAAGAAAACTACCCTAAAACTTAAAGTATAATAAAAATAAAATAAAATAAAATAAGATCACAGCATTTTGGAATAGAAAAAAAAAAAAAACTACAGACTGCTATCCCTGATGAACACAGACGCTAAACTCCTTAACAAAATACTAGCTAACTGAGTCCAACAACATATCAAAAAGATAATCCACTATGATCAACTGGGTTTCACACCAGGGATTCAGGGGTGGTTTAACATATGCAAGTCAATAAATGTGATACACTACATAAAAAGGATTTAAAACAAAAATCATATGATCTTCTCAATAGATTCAGAAAAAGCATTTGACAAAATCTAGCATCCCTTTATGATTACAATTCTCAGCAAAACTGGCATACAAGGGACATACCTCAATGTAATAAAAGCCATCTATGACAAACCCACAGCCAACATAATACTGAAATGGGGAAAAGTTGAAAGCATTCCCTCTGAGAACTGGAACAAGACAAGGATGCCCACTCTCACCACTTCTCTTCAACATAGTACTGGAAGTCCTAGCCAGAGCAGTCAGACAAGAGAAATAAATAAGGGGCACCCAAATTGGCAAAGAGGAAGTCAAACTGTCACTGTTGGCTGAAGACATGATCATTTATCTTGAAAACCCTAATGACTCCTCCCAAAAGCTCCTAGAACTGACAAACGAATTCAGCAACGTTTCCTGATACAAGATAAATGTACACAAATCAGTAGCTCTTCTATATACCAACAGCGACCAAGTGGAGAATCAAATCAAGAACTCAAGCCTTTTTACAATAGCTGCAAAAAAAAAAAAAAACAAAAAAAAACAAAAAAAAAAAACCTAACCAAAGAGTCGAAAGACCTCTACAGGGAAAACTACAAAACACTGCTGAAAGAAACCATAGATGACACAAACAAATAGAAACACACCCCATGCTCATGGATGGGTAGAATCAATATTGTGAAAATGACCATACTGCCAAAAGCAATCTACAAATGCAATACAATCCCCATCAAAACACTACCATCATTCTTCACAGAATTAGAAAAAACAATTCTAAAATTCATATGGAATCAAAAGAGAGCCTGCATAGCCAAAGCAAGACTAAGCAAAAAGAATAAATCTGTAGGCATCACACTACCTGATTTCAAACTATACTATAAGGCTATAGTCACCAAAACAGCATGGTTCTGGTATAAAAATAGGCACATAGACCAATGGAACAGAATAGAGAACCCAGAAATAAATGCAAATACTTATAGCCAACTGATCTTTGACAAAGCAAACAAAAACATAAAGTGGGGAAAGGACACCCTTTTCAACAAATGGTGCTGGGATAACTGGTTAGCTGCATCTAGGAGAATAAAACTGGATCTTCATCTCTCGCCTTTTACCAAAGTCAACTCAAGATGGATTAAGGACTTAAATCTAAGTGCTGAAACTATAAAAATTCTAGAAGATAACATTGGAAAAAACTCTTCTAGATATTGGCTTAGGCAAGGATTTCATGACCAAGAACCCAAAAGTAAATGCAATAAAAACATAGATAAATAGTTGAGACTTAAACTAAAGAGCTTTTGCATGGCAAAAGGAATAGTCAGCAGAGTCAACAGACAACCCACAGAGTGGGAGAAAATCTTCGCACTCTATACATCTGACAAAGGACAAATATCCAGAATCTATAAGGAACTCAAACAAATCAGTAAGAAAAAAATAATCCCATCAAAAAGTGGGCTAAGGACATGAATAGACAATTCTCAAAAGAAGATATACAAGTGGCCAACAAACATATGACAAAATGCTCAACATCACTAATGATCAGAGAAATGCAAATCAAAACTACAATGCGATACCACCTTACTCCTGCAAGAATGGCCATAATAAAAAAATCAAAAAACAGTAGATGTTGGCATGGATGCAGTGATCAGGGAACACTTCTACACTGCTGGTGGGAATGTAAACTAGAATGTAAACAGCCACTATGGAAAACAGTGTGGAGATTCCTTAAAGAGCTAAAAGTAGAACTATCATTTGATCCAGCAACCCCAATACTGGGTATCTACCCAGAGGAACATAAGTCATTATATGAAAAAGATACTTGAACACACATGTTTGTAGCATCACAACTCAAAATTGCAAAATCATGGAAGCAACCCAAATGCCCATCAATCAAAGAATGGATAAAGAAACTGTTATTATATATATGTACACACACACACACACACACACACACACACACACACACACACACACGATGGAATACTACTCAGCCATAAAAAGGAATGAATTAATGGCATTTGCAGTGACCTGGATGAGACTGGAGACTATTATTCTAAGTGAAGGAACTCAGGAATGGAAAACCAAACATCGTATGTTCTCACTGATATGTGGGAGCTAAGCTATGAGGACACAAAGGCGTAAGAATGATATAATGGACTCTGGGGACTTGTGGGGAAGTGTGGAAGGGGGATGAGGGATAAAAGACTATAAATATGGTGCAGTGTATACTGACTGGGTGATGGGTGCACCAAAATCTCACAAATCACCACTAAGGAACTTATCTAACCAAATATCACCTGTACCCCAATAACCTACGGAAAAAAAACAAAAAATAAAATAAAATAAAAATAAAAATAACTGAGGCAAAGCAATATCAGCAAAATGATAGTTTGATATTATTTTTAAATATTAGTTTTTTAATTTTTATATTTCATTGGCCTATGATCATTGAACATTGGCTGAATTTCCTTGGTTATAAGCTGAAGAGGAATCAAATTTTACATTTCCTGAGTATACAACATCCTCTCCCCTCTTCAAATTTAAAACTTGCCTGCATTAGTTTGAAAAAATGGAAAAACTGTTTGACATTTGTTCTGCTTAGAAACAATTGTGAAAACCAAATGCAAACTTTCTAAGATACAAATGCATGCACTTTTAATTATTTTGGGTGAGGCAGGCTTATAGAAAGCTCATATTTTGGGGGCGCTGTCTCTATAAAATTAGACCTTTTGTTAGCTCCAGTGATAGCCAGCACAGCATATATGAAATTGGGGGAAGGATGGAAGAAGCAGCATATTAGAAACAAGTATAATGAATAAATAAGAACTATGCAGAGTTTAGGAGCACAAATTTTGCAGTGTTTCATGCTGAATCCCATTCTCATGAGTTTATTTCCTTCTTGATATATGTATGAATATGTTTAATTTGGTGTGCATTCAATATCTTTTTGTGAGTAATTTCTAAGCACTACAAGATTTTACTTGAATACTACGATAATGTCCTCTAAAATTGCTGAATGTTTCTTAGTAATTCCTTCATCACCCCTTTAAATCAAAGGGAGCTCTGAGAAAGGAAGATGAAAATCTGGTTGCTTAACTGTTGAAGTAGTCCAGACATTAAGCAGTCTATACCTATATTAATAAAGAATGAACTTAATTAATAAAACTGCACATTTTTCTTCTTTCTAGGAGTCTGAAAAAAAGAATTTAGAATCCAGAGAATAAGGTATTAGTAAATATTCACAAAATTAAGGATTCGTTTTTTCAACTTACTGTGCAATCTGGGAGTGGGATATTGCAAGCCTTTGGTCAGCACATTCAATGATTTCTTCATATGATGTAACCTTGAAAAAAATAAGCTAAACCAATTATTTTTCATTCTAGAATTTTTATTTTTTTCTTTTTTATGACTACAAGTTGAAGCTTAATTATCTGACTATTAATGAAAGTTTCATAATAGGCAAAACACTTTCCTTACATTTTGAAATCAGGAACATGAAAGAAAAGAATGATAACACGCCCATTAATCATGCAGAAAACGTGAAGTACCAAAAAATGGACAACAGTAATGAGTCAACCATAATCTAGTTGTCTTCCAAATAAGTACTGTATGCATCAACTAGGGATTAGAGTTCATTTGATTAAAGTTAAGGCAGTTTTAATAAGGTAAACTGGAACACTAAGTTGGCAAGATTTAGAATTATCCTGAAAATGAAGTAGCAATACTAAGATTTTAAATTGCCAACAGCAGAATGGATAGACACACACAACAATCTTTGATAGCTTTCAGCTAAAAGGATAATGGGGGTGTTTTATAATATCATTATGAAGTAAAAGGGATCAATATAAATGTGCTACATCATCCCACAGACCCTTTTTAGCTCTAAAATTCTATTAATATTTGGCATAGTTTTTAAAAGGCACAAATATTTCTGTAAGGCAGTTTGTACCAGGCCGGGAACAGTGTCTCAGGTCTGCAATCCCAGGATTTTGGGAGGCCGAGGCAGAAGGATTGCTTGAGACCAGGAGGTTGAGACCAGCCTATGCAACATAGCGAGACCATGTCTCTACAAAAATTTTTAAAAATTAGCCAGGAATGGTGGCACATGCCTATAATCCCAGCTACTCATGAGACTGAGGCAAGGAGGCTTGCTTGAGCCCAGGGGATTGAGGCTGTAGTTAGCACTGCACTGTACTTCGGCCTGGGTGACAGAGTGAGATCTTGTCTCAAAATACAAAAGAAAAAAAAATGTCTACCTTCTTTATTAAGTTGCCTAAATGTCTTTGATACTTGTCATTTTCTTCAATGAGTCTGTTGCAGTGGTTTTCTTTTGACTCTAGGAGATGTCCCAGTTTTGTGATCTATGGAGAAATATCAGTAAACATACTAATCTGGAACCTGCCAGGAAAGCTATATATGGATGCCAAGAACAAATGAGAAAACTGAGCAATACTTTATTCCAATATTCTTCTAAACCGAGCTGTACCGTAGGTGAAGCATGAGAGGCTATGAACCAGATAATGGTTGGACTGCACTTAGAACAGATAAACAAAAATTATAATGGGGTTTTACCTTTCCTCTTTATACTATAAAACAGCATTACAAATAACAGAACACCTATTGGTACATACAAATATTTATCAGCCCCAAATCTTCCTTATCGTCTTTCCATATATAGCCAATGGGTAGACATATTTGACTCTATATGAAGTAAAGCACTGATTTTTCAGATTTGAGAAATACTCTCCCTTGCATAATTTTCAGGTTTGAGAAATACTCTCCCTTGCATAAATGACTGCAAGTTTTTAAAAAGGTTCAGCTTAATGTATTTCATTTTCTGACCTATGGTCCAATTTTTATTTGCAAGAAAGCCATTAAAAATGAAAAATTATGTGACATCTGAAATTAATTATCAGGAAATGGTATTCACAATTTCCCCTAGCAGTTACCTTAATTTTCAAAGCAATTATAGAAGAAAAACTATAAACATGAAATAACAATGTTAAATGACTTTTAATCATCTAATGTTTTATTATTTATTTATTTATTTGAGATGGAGTCTCTGTCGCCAAGGTTGGAGCACAGTGGCACGATCTCAGCTCACTGCAACCTCTACCTCCCAGGTTCAAGCAATTCTCCTGCCTCAGCCTCCTGAGTAGATGGGATTACAGGTGTGCGCCACCACGCCCAGCTAATTTTTGTATTTTTAGTCGAGATGGGGTTTCACCATGTTGGCCAGGCTGGTCTTGAACTCCTGAGCTCAGGTGATCCGCCCCCCGTCGGCCTCCCAAAGTGCTGAGATTACAGGTGTGAGCCACCGCGCCCAGCCTAATGTTTCAAATATACTTACATGTCTGTAGTGAAGAACCCTAGAGGAATCAATAACAGAGCAAATTTGCAGCAGAAATAGCAACTTTCTTTCTCTTATATGAATAAATTAATGAGGACAATATCAAATCAGTGGTCCCACTTCTCTAACAACATATATTATTTAAGGTACTTAATCTAGTTGTTATTACCTCAATTTAACAGTTGGAACAAAAGTGAAGAGAATTTAAAAGACTTTTGAAGTAGAAAATGTTAGGCTCTTTTCATCCCATCTCCTCACTACATCCTGGAGGGGGGTTCCACTCTGCTTCATGACACTTGACTGAAGCAATGTGGAATTCCTTCTCAATTTCTCTTTTTCATTATAGATTTCATGGCACACTTTGAATTCTTTAATAGCTTTCAAGATCAAAATAACAACCCTTTTAAGTCTGCAGATGGATTTTTTTTTAATTTGCTAACCTCAGATTAAATAAAGAATAGCAAAAGCTTCCTTACAGAATAATATTTATTTTAAAGGTAAAGGAATTGCTCTGCAGAAGCCGGGTTTTTAGATTATCATGAAAAGAAATACAACATTTTGAGTTTCTGCTAACGTACAAATTTTAACTGCTTTAAGGGTATAAGTGACACACGATTAATAACACATATTTAAAGTGTATGGTTTGGTAAATTTTTGTTGTTGTTGTTTGTTTTTATATTTGTTTTTGTTTTTGAGATGGAGTATCGCTTTGTCACCCAGGCTGGAGTGCAGTGGTGCAATCTCTGCTCACTGCAACCTCTGCCTCCAGGGTTCAAGTGATTCTCCTGCCTCAGCCTCCCTAGTAGCAGGGACTACAGGTGTATGCCACCACACCTGGCTAGTTTTCATAGTTTTAGTAGAGACGGGGTTTCACCATGTTGGCCAGACTGCGGTTAGGTAAGTTTTGAGATATATATATATATATATATATATATATATATATATATATATATGCCTCCAAAACCATCACCAGCATCAAGATAATGAGTCTGCCCGTCAACCTCCACAACCAAAGTTTCTTCTTGCCACTCAGCAATCCCTCCCTCCTGCCCATCTGCCTTCCTTGACCTCCACACTCTCTGCCAGTCCCAGGCAAACACTGATCCACTTTCTGTCATCATAGATTACTTTGTATATTCTAGAATGTTATATAATGGAACCAAACAGTATTTACTCTTTTTTTGTCTAGTTCTTTTCACATGGTATAATTATTTTGAGGTTCTTCTATGTTGCATGTGTTTCAGTAGTTCATCCCTTTTTTATGACTGAGGAGTATTTTCATTGAATGAATATATACAATGTATTTACCCATTCACCTGTAGACAGACATTTGGGTTGCTTTCTGATTTGGGCTATTTATTATAAATAAAGCTACAAAGACCTCATACATATTTGTATGAACATATGCTTTCATTTCTCTTGGGTAAACATCTAGGAGTAGGCCAGGCACAGTGTCTCATGCCTGTAATCCCAGTGCTTTGGGAGACGGAGGCGGGAGGATTGCTTGAGCTCAGGAGTTTGAGGCTGGCTTAGGCAACATAGCAAGACTCCAGCTCTACAAAAAAAATTTTTTTTAATTAGCTAGGGCTGGTGATGTGCACCTGTAGTCCCAGATATTCTGGAGGCTGAGGTGGGAGGCCACAGTGAGCCAAGATTGCACCACTACACTTCAGCCTGGGTGACACAGCAAGTGATACCCTGTAAACAATAACCAAAAAAAACTAGGAGTAGAATAATGGTAGGTGTGTGTTTAACTTTTAAAGCCATCGCCAAAATGTTTTCCAAAATGGTTGTACAATTTTACATCCCAACCAGCAGCGAATGAGAGTTGCATTTGCTCCACATTCTCTCCAAGCCTTAGTATAGTCAGTCTTTTTAATTTTAGACATTCTAAAACGGGTGAGTGGTATTCTCTGTGGTTTTAATTTGCATCTTTTTTTTTTTTGAAACGGAGTTTCGCTCTTGTTGCCCAGGCTGGAGTGCAATGGCACAATCTTGGCTCACTGCAACCTCCTCCTCCCAGGTTCAAGTGATTCTCCTGCCTTGGCCTCCCAAGTAGCTGGGATTACAGGCATGTGCCACCATGCCCGGCTAATTTTGTATTTTTTAGTAGAGATGGGATTTCACCATGTTGGTCAGGCTGGTCTCAAACTCCTGACCTGAGGTGATCCACCCACCTCGGCCTCCCAAAGTGCTGGGATTACAGGTGTGAGCCACCTTGCCTGGCCTAATTTGTATCTTAAAGATGTTAAGTATCTTTGCCACCTCTTCAGCACCTCCTTTCCTGAGTGGCCTGCCCATGTGTACTGCAGCACAGAGCACAGACACAGACCCACAGAAGTTGTGATGGGCCTCACTGACTGCCTTGAAGATGTAGGCTCTAAGGGCAGGGGTGAGTTAGGCAGAGGCTGAACACACATGTTGGGTCATGTTCACAGCAACAGACATTTGACATAGCAGAGGAGGAAGTCCTTTTGGAGAGCTGCTCCCCGGGCAGTGTGGACTACAGCCAGTGAGAGGCAGAGAAGCCAAGATGAGGTTCACTCAGTCCAGGTGGCACTGCTCAGTCATGAGCCCTCCAAAGATATCCTGGGTTTGGTCCTCTCTGTATCCCAAATTTGTGGACACAGTTCCAAGTTAATAATATATTAACTTGCTTCAATATATTATGAGGCACTGAAATCCAAATCACTAAAAAACTGAGGTCACACATCTTGTATTCACTTTCTGTCGCTGCTGCAACAAATTACCACAAACTTAGTGGCTTCACACAACACAAAGTGATTATCTTATAGTTCTGTAGGTGGGAAGTCTGGCACAGGTCTCACTGGGCTAAAGTCAAAGTGTCAACAGGGCTGCGCTCCTTTCTGGAGGCCTTAGGGGAGACTTTCCAGCTTCTAAAGGCTGCCCACATCTTTGGCTTAGGTCCCCTCTCTTCATCTTCAGAGCCAGCAAGTGTCGTAGCTTTGAATATTCTTTAGTAGTCAAATCTCCCTCTGACATGTCTGGGAAAGGTCCTCTACTTTTAAGAACTCATGATTATTGGACCCACCCTGACAATCCAGGATAATGTACCCCTGAATCTCAAGGCCCTTGATTTAATCACATCTGCAAAGTCCATTCTGCCATGTTCTGGGGACTAGGGTGTGGGAATCTTTGGGGGTGCCATTATCCTGCTACCACACACCTGTTATGAGGGTTACTGAGGCCCTCTATGATTTGAGGTGCCAGGCCAGGTGGCCTGGCCATAAGGTGAAGCCAGGGTATTTAGCTCTATCTAGGTCGTAATTCAAGGTTTCCTAAGAGGCTTTTACTTGCATTAACACACTTTCCTCATATAGGGTTGTCTTACACTCTGATAGTGTCAACTTAGAGGGAAAGTATGTCAAGGTAGACATAACATTCACCATGAACAGTGGATAAATCAGGCATCATTATTAATAGCCTTGCAGATTGAGATATGGGAAGAAGATTGGCTGATTGAGTTTCCAATTCTCTACACAAAGGTTTTGAGGTTGTGTACATACAATACAATATAAACCTGGCTGGGAGAGATGGCTCACAGCTGTAATCCCAACACTTTGGGAGGCCAAGGCGGGTGAATCACCTGAGGTCAGGAGTTCAAGACCAGCCTGTCTAACATGGTGAAACCCCGTCTCTACTAAAAAATACCAAAAAATTAGCCAGGTGGGGTAGTGCACGCCTGTATTCTCAGCTACTTGGGAGGCTGAGGCAGGAGAATCACTTGAACCCGGGAGGTGGAGGTTGCAGTGAGCCGAGATCACGCCAGTGCACTCCAGCCTGGGTGACAGAGCACGACTCTGTCTCAAAAAACAAACAAACAAATACAATATCAATCAGAAACTAAACATTAAGCCAGAATATATAGAGCAGGTGAGGAACAACAGGCAGATATGAAGATAGCTAAGACCTACACTCCAGTGTCATATTTGCTAATAAACTTCTTCGTAGCTAGAACGAAATGGAAATCTGGTCAGTTACATAAATAATGACAAATCTGGTTGTCATTATTCATGTGATGAAAATATACCTGCTTCTAAAAGAGGAACTTGTCCTAGTGGGCCTGAGATCTCTAAGGAAGTTCTCATCCAAGTGAAACAACCATGTCTCTGTAGCAAATTAGAAGGATGTTTCCTAGGATTGTTGAGAGTCTAACACCAAAGCACAACTCAGTAAAAGCAATTCTGCAAGGGCCAAGAAAGTATGTTCCAAGCAGCAGCTTTCACATCATGAACATGATTCAGGTTATGACTCTTTATTAAGTGGTAAAATGAATTTATAACCAACATAAAAAATGAAATGGAATAGAACAGAACAGAATTTTAAAACCCAATGTTTTAGCTGTGTGTGTGTGTGCATATAAGTATTCCATCAAGATGTAAAATGTATTTTTTCTAAACTGAGGATTACTACTAGAGGAACAAAAGAACTGCAAAGATAATCCTTCAGAGATACAAGAGCTCTTAAGCTCTTGCTAAGAGCTGGTCAGGAAACAGATTGGTGTGATATCCTTTAGCAAGGATCTGTAGTGCAAATATTGTTTCCCACCCTTGCTTTAGAATGGAAATTAGGAAAATCAGAACTAGGAAGGTGAGGGATAGAGTCAGAGTATCAGAAGGACTACTGTAAAATGCCAGGATGCTTGAGAGAACAAGAAAACAGCTGGTAAGGTTGACATCTATGTAAACTAAGAATGTAAGATTCCATCTGGCTGGACAGCCCTCCCACCTGTGTGACCCAAGTTTTAGTGATGATCCTAGTCTCTTCCTTAGGAGGCTGGTCAGTGGCAGAGAGGCCGGCAAACTATAAAGTATACTCAAGGTAACACCGTGCCAAATCCAGATACAGGTGGGTCCCTTTGGTCATTCAAGTGGACCACAAGATACTGGGCTTTGATTGTTTTCTTTTGGCTCACTTGGAAAATTTTTCCTAAAGCAGTAATTTTCTACTTTGCCTGTTCCTTTCTTATTCTTGTGACTTCTTTACAATTTAACAAGCTGTTAATTTTAAAGGCTACCAAAATAATAAGTTAGGTAAATGTTTTACGTAATATATGATTGCCATATTGAAGTGGTATGTTTTAGGACAGATTTTGATTTTTAAATTTTAACTACTCCATAATACTGGTTAGAGATATCTTATTTGTATTAAAAGTTATCTATTTTACTGAAGATGGGATCTAGGAGGAACTTACTATGAGCCTCTTTGAACTCTGAACATCAGTACCATTAAGTGGACTTTTGCCTTGTTCCCAGTGGTCAAATCCCTGACTGTATCAGTGTCTTCCTGGACCAGGAGACATTTTGCACTTGACAGTTAAACACCCAGGATGCTTGAGCCAGCAGGAAGGCAAAGCTGAAGTCAAGGACCCTGTCTCAGGATGGAGGAGGCCAGGCTGTGAATGGAGCAGATGGCAGGGTCAGAACTGTGAAGAGGAGCCAACGGCAAGGGGTCAGAAGGACATGAGAGAAGCACGCGACGATGTGCCAAGGGAAGCATGAGCATCACCCTGCACTCCAGCGGCCACACCTTGCTGGCCCAGAGTTCCTTAGAGAATGAGGTGTGAATCTTCTGGAGTACATTCTGCACTACCAAAAAATAAAAACAAAATCCTTTTTATCTTGAAAATTTTCATGCAAGTCTAAAGAATAACATAATGAACCTCCATGTTTCCATCCCATAACTTCAACAATTATCAACATTTTCCATTACTGTTTTATCTTTCTCCAACCCTGCCCCTACACCTACTATGCCACCTTTTTGTTCTCCTGGAGTACTTTAAAGCAAACCTTGCCATCATATTAATTCACTCATAAATACTTTTCAAAATGTAATACTAACAGGCTGGGCATGGTGGCTCACACCTGTAATCCCAGTACTTCCCAGAGACTTTGAGAGGCAGGTGGATCGCCTGAGCTCAGGAGTTCGTGACTAGCCTGGCCAACATGGAAAAACCCTGTCTCTACTAAAAATACAAAAAATTAGCTGGGTGTGGTGGTGGGTGCTTGTAATCCCAGCTACTTAGGAGGCTGAGGCAGGAGAATCGCTTGAACCCTGGGGGCGGAGGTTGCAGTGAGCCAAGATCGTGCCACTGCACTTCAGCCTGGCGACACAGCAAGGATCCGTCTCTAAAAACAAACAAACAAATGTAATACTAACAGATAAGGGCTTTTAAAAACAAAATGGTACCACTATCACATCTATTAAAATCAACAATAAAATTTCTTAATATTATCTAATATGCTGAATTCAATTTTCTATTATCTCACAAATGTCTTTTTATAGTGGTTGGTTGAGTTTCATACACTGCCTCTGGCTGATTTGTCCTCTAAGTCTCTAGCCTCTCTTAGTCTATAACAGTTATTCCCTCTCCTTCCCTTCTCTCATGCCAATTATTTATTTATTAGAGTTCTCCACATTCAGGATTTGTCATTATGGTGTGATCAAGTACATTTCTTTACCCACTGTAGTTCCTGTCTGCTGGTAGTTAGGTCTAGAAGCTAGCTTTTGGATTCAGCAGTTTTGGTAAGAAGCCTTGTGGAGGGTGTTGTGTGCTTCCTCTGCACCATGTCAAGGGGCAGGGGTCTGCCTGTCTCACCGTTAGTGGGGTTGAGATTTATCGGTGTGTTCAAGTATTGGTCAATATGACTCATTCATTAAAAACTCCTTATTAATCTTGAACCTACAGGTTTTAGCAGCCATTATGATAACTGCTTACATTCCTTAATTTATTCAGGAGTGCAAAATATAATTTTCTAAACTTATCTTTTCTTCAGCTTTTAATAGCTTACATTCTTCAATAAAGAACTCTCCCTCATCAATTATTTGGATACTCTGAGATAGGGTTTGTACATCAAAGCCTATAGTGCATTTTAAAGGTGTGTCTGACACTCTGCCATTTGTGACCTTGTTCCCATTCCAGCTCCCACTGCTGGGAACACTACTGTTTACTCTCATCATCTTTGTATCACCAGGGCCTGAAGCATAGGTACTGCTAATGGACAACAGAATGTATTGAGTGCTGTCCTCTTAGCTCCCTATGCCCAAATTTTACTGGTCTTTAAGACCCAACTGCCATCTCCTTCATAACCTGCACTTAGAAATAATCTCTTCCAGTCCTCGGACAAGTATCCACTCTGTTAGATGCCAGCCATTGTACCTCTTCTCTAAAAACTTTCCCTTTCCTTCTGATAAACAGTTATTTATGTATCTTATCTTCTTTTCTAGATTCCTTAGTACCAGGGTTTATGTTTTGTTTCGCTTTCTAGCTCCTTAGTGATTAGCTTATTTAATCTTTTCTGGGAAGTCAATAATAATTACTGGTTTTTTGTTTGTTTGTTTGTTTTTGAGACAGAGTCTTACTCTGTCACTCAGGCTGGAGTGTAGTAGCGTGATCTCAGCTCACTGCAACCTCCGCCCTCTGAGTTCAAGCGATTCTCCTGCCTCAGCCTCCCAAGTAGCTGGGATTACAGGTGCCTGCCACCGCGCCCGGCTAATTTTTTGTATTTTTAGTAGAGACGGGGTTTCACCATCTTGGCCAGGGTGGTCTTGAACTCCTGATCTCATGATCCACCCGCCTCAGCCTCCCAAAGTGCTTGGATTACAGGCATGAGCCACCGCGCCTGGTCAATAATTACTTCTTATGAAAAAAAAATTACAAAAGAGGAAAGCTTTGAACCTTCACGTTATTAGACACTTTTCTATTAAAAGTGAATTGTATGTAATGAATTTAGTATAGAATGCTGCTTTTTAATCATTTAAAAAATATGATGGTAGACTTAGCTAATTAACTCCTATAAAAATTCATTATGTTAATTAGTCGTTTTCATTTTAGTGAGATCCAACTGAATTCCTAAATTGCTCTATAAGTATCTAGATTCTAAGATCACATTTTCATTTTCTTCTAACATATTTTTCCTATTTTATCTGCCTTTATCTTTACAATACCATCTAAAGTACATTATGAGTGTTATTGCCTGAAGCATACCTTAACCATGGCTGTTGTACACAGCTATTACTGCAGCATATGCAACAGTATTAGTGTACTTCATCTACTGTGAAAAAACAGCACTTTTAAAATTTCTGCATTTGGAAGGAAACAAATCTGATTAATCTTAACAGAAACGAGGTAGGACAATATTTAAAATTTCAAAACCCCAAAATGCAAACTTCGATTCTATATTATTGTGGGTAAATAATAATGCCATGATGCCAGTGTGTGACCCTTTTTATAAGCCAGTTTTTTGAAGGATGATAACTTCTTAAACTTGCTAGTAAAATAATGTTGTGTATAAAAATAATAGCAAGGTAAAAAAAGGTCTTTCTTACCAAGAAATCAAGCTCCTCATTTAGACTGTGGTACTTATCCAGTTTGGCTCCCAGAAGGGTAGGTACATCTCTGATACTCTTGGCTTCATCTGAATCACAGTCTATGACCTGAGATTAAATATATTTGTTCTCACTTTCAATCATTTCATACTCCTTGGAATACCTGACAATAAATACTTTATTAGTTTAAAAATCAAAGAGATTATCAGTGGCTGGAATAATAAAAGTGCAGAACTTAGAACTAGAAGTACTTCAACAAATTTACCAAAAGAACATAAATACCTGAAATTGTATATTTTTATGTTAAAGATAGTACGTAGTAAATATTAAGCTCACCTTAATAGCATGATCTTGAAATGCTTTTTCCTTAGCAATTAACTCTCTAAAGGTTGTGATTCTATCTTTATGTTTCAGTAGCTAAGAAAAGGAAAACATTCTGTATTTTAGAGAGAAAATACAACTACGCTCTAATATTTATAATAAAATAATCAAACCGGGCCGGGCGTAGTGGCTCATGCCTATAATCCCAGCACTTTGGGATGCTGAGGCGGGTGGATCACCTCAGGTCAGGAGTTCAAGACCAGCCTGATTAATATGGTGAAACCCTGTCTCTCCTAAAAATACCAAAATTATCCGGGCATGGTGGCTGGCACCTGTAATCCCAGCCACTCAGGAGACTCAGGCAGGAGAATTGCTTGAACCTGGGAGGCGGAGGTTGCAGTGAGCCGAGATGGCGCCATTGCACTCCAGCCTGGGCGACAGAGCAAGACTCTGTCTCAAAAAAAAAAAAAAAAAAATCAAACCATGCAGTCTAACAGTCTTCAAAAAACATACAAAAAATATGTTTTTATAGCTCTTGTGAGGAAAAGAATTCACACAGCAGGTCCAAGACTGCTAGGCTTAGAGAGGCCTGCTGGCAAGGCTGCCCCATGACTGGCATTTGGAAAGTTGGACTGCAGAAAGTTTTCCACCATTCTCTGATGTAAATGGCTTATGGTGCTCAACCTACTTGCCCAAAGCATGGGCATCTACTTTCCTTCCAGGGGTCTGGAATTTTGGTACGCACTAGGCAGAGGGTGCTTATGTGAACAGCTCCTGATAAAAACCTGGGGCACTGGGTCTCTAAGAAGCCTCGCTGGTAGATGACACTTCCACACCTGTGGTTGCAACTCATTGCTGGGGGAACGAAATGCATCCTGTGTGACTCCATGAGGACTCTTGGAAGCCTGAGTTTTGCTTTCTCTAGACGATGCCCCTGTGCCTTTCCCTCGGCTGATTTTGCATTGTATCCTTTGCTGTGGTAAGTCATAGCTGTGAGGACGACTCACAGTCCTTCAGCTAATCATCAAACCTGGGGGTGGTCTCGGGGTCTCCAAGGAGTTATCCTAACATAACGATTGTTATTACAGTCAGGCTATTAAAATTTTTCCTTAAAGAAAAAAATTAGCCAAATCTGGGCGTAATTTATAATCATTTCTTATTTATTCCTTCAGTATAATAATAATCTTAATATCCAATATTCAAACTGATTAGTGAAGTGTGGTGTGCAAAATATTTTTTATTCTTTATTGCAAACATTTTCCAATATTTAAAATAGAAAAAACTTTAATGAACACCACGTAACTATCATTCAGCTTCAATAATTAACAGCTAATGGTCAATGTCATTATATCCTCAATCACTGCCCTCTTCCCTCCATCCCCCTTCACTGAATCAAACTGCAGACATCATATCACCTGTCAATACTTCAGTAATTACACAGAAAAAATTAACCAAAAGAACATAAATATCTGAAAGAAATATTTGGGGGATTTTTTTTTTTTTTTTGCTTTTTGTTGTTATTGTTTGTTTGTTTTGAGACAGTGTTTTGAGACTTGCCTCACCACAGCTTCGACCTTTCTGGGCTCAGGTGATCCTCGCACCTCAGCCTCCGGAATAGCTAGGACACAGGTGTGTGCCACCACGCCTGGCTAATTTTTGTATTTTTTGTAGAGACGGAGTTTCCCCATGTTTCCCAGGCTGGTCTCAAACTCCTGGGCTCAGGCCATCCGCCTCCCTCAGCCTCCCAAAATGCTGGGATTACAGGCATGAGCAACTGTGCCCAGCCTGAAATTGTATTTTTGTAACAACCTCAGTTGGGCTTATTTTTGAAAGCTGTTTAGAGGAGTAGAGGCCAGCCGTTTCTCTGCATGACTGTGCTCATACTTTGGTCCTGTCCTCTACAGGCTGGCTAGGAGGCAGAGAGATTCTTCAGGATACCCGCAACACGTCAGTTCAGATAAGTGTTACAGAATGAATTTGTTATGATCCAAGATTCCAGGTTTGAATACGTTTTGATTCCTTTAGCCAGATAAAATTTTCATGTCTGCATTCCTCTCAGATTCAAAATGGTACAATTTGACATCCTGTTATCACCTTCCTTATTTAATTCTCTTCATTTTATCCTTCAATCTGTATACTACCACACCTAGAAAAGAGTACTTGAGGCCGGGTGCAGTGGCTCACGCCCGTAATCCCAACACTTTAGGAGGCCAAGGCAGGTGGATCACCTGAGGTCAGGAGTTCAATGGCTGCATTTCATTAAATTCGGCCTGGTCAACATGGTGAAGCCCCGTCTCTACTAAAAATACAAAAAATTAGCTGGACGTGGCAGCACACGCCTGTAATCCCAGCTACTTGGGAGGCTGAGGCAGAAGAATCACTTGAACCTGGGAGGCGGAGGCTGCAGTGAGCCAAGATCATGCCACTGCACTCCAGCCTGAGCAACAGAGCAAGACTCTGTCTCAAAAAAAAAAAAAAAAAAAAAATTAAAGAAAAGAGTAACTAAAGACAATCCAAGAACCTCTGCCCTCACCCTTCAGCCACCTGAGAAATAAAATTATTTTCAATGTTTCTGTTATTCCAAAGGATGAAGTTTGAAATCACTATAGGAAAGTCAAAATAAACAACCCTTCAGGAATCAGTAGTGCCGTGCAAAAATGAAAAAATTTATCATACTAAATTTTTTGTAGGTGAATGAGATTTTCCCATACAGACAAACAATAAAACAAGTCAAATGTTGAACATTTTATCTCTTTAGTGAGGGGCACAGTAAAACTAATCTGGTCCCCCAAAATAATTTTTAAAATGATTCCAACTTTAAGAGTTACTTCTTCACTACCTTTTAACTATTTTTTCACTAAAAATAATAAAATTTTTAGAAGAAGAATAAATATAATACCTCTTTATCTAAAGTTTTCTTTTTAAGATGGAGGCTCTTCAGTTTTTGCAGCATTATATCACTAACCTTCTCACTCTCTTTGAAATGTTCAGCATCAGAATTGATGATGTCCTAAGGGTAAGAGTTTCAGAAGCTAGATGAAAAAGTTTTTACTAAAGCTAAAATGAGGCCAAAACTATGCATATGAAACAAAAACAAATCTCCTTTCAATAAGTAAGCCAATCAAAAGAGGTAAAATCATATTGAACTCCATTCCTCAATTACTTATCAGAAGGCATCCAATAAAGGGTTAGTACAGAAAGATTTCATTTTTTTTATTTTAATTTTTTTTTTTTTTTTGAGATAGAGTTTTGCTCTTTCACCTAGGCTGGAGTGCAGTGGCGCGATCTCTGCTCACTGCAACCTCTCCCCCCAGGTTCAAGCTATTCTCCTGCCTCAGCCTCCCAAGTAGATGGGATTATAGGCACCCGCCACCATGCCCAGCTAATTTTTGTATTTTTAGTAGAGATGGGGTTTCACTATGTTGGCCAGGCTGGTCTCGAACTCCTGACCTCAGGTGATCTGCCCGCCTCGGCCTCCCAAATTGCTGGGATTACAGGCGTGAGCCACCGCACCTGGCCGTGCATGTCCCTTAATTGTTTTTTTCATTAAATGCAGTGCTTATAAGCTCCCAGGACAGAAGCATCATTTCCCCATCTTAAAGATAAGGAAACTGAAATGGAAGTTAGGTTACTTGGTCAAGTTACACAGCTAGGAAATGATAAGCCAGCATCTGAACTCATCTGACAGCAACTTCACTTTTCATTCTACTAATGTACACAACTCTACACTGCCCTTCCCCGACTCCTAACCAAACGTGGTATTTTAGATTGGGCAAACAGCTCATTAATGTGAACAGTCATTAATCACTAGGCGCAGACTGACCAGAGCACAAGACTACTGATCTGGGAGGGCATCGCTGAAACGTGGGAAGTACTTAATAAAGGGTTCTTTTTATCTTATTACATCTTATCTATCTCTACGCTTGTGAGCATTAGGTGTTCAAGAAAGATAAGCAGAAAGAAGACATGGGGCGAAGAAGGGTTGGATGGATGGCTTAGGGGTCTGTATTTTATCTTCAATTCTTCATTTTCTTCTTCCACAACTTAATTCCTTTTATTGCCTCTCTTTTTGTCCAACCCCAGTATTTATTCCTCCCCTACTAAAATATCTAATATATATGTTTTATTACCTGGCATGTGAGAAGTCCCACCATCAGAGCCAGAAGACTGTGCATTTTGGAGGCCAGCTGAGAAGCTCTTTTTATATCTGCAGGATTCAGCCTCTCTTCACAAGGTGAGCAATCCGGGAGCAGATTAGAATGTGTCGTTTTTGTATCCTACATGCACGTAATTCAGATTTGTCAAAATAATGATGAAGAACCTGAAATATCTTTTAAGTAAAATGCTGAATAAAATGGCACTCTTAAAAACCTTGGGCGACAGTTCTCAAACTTTTTCATCTTAGGATCCCTTTAGAAATTAAAACTGAGAATATTTTTAAATATTTGTTTACTAATTCTTTTAAAGTAGCAATAACTCCATTATGTAGAAGCATAAATAACAATTTATTTATTTATTTATTTTTGAGCCAGGGTCTCACTGTCACACAGGCTGGAGTGCAGTAGTGTGAACATGGCTCACTGCAGCCTCAAATGCCTAGGCTCACACAATCCTCCCACCTCAGTCTCCCCAGTAGCTGAAACCACAGGTGCATGCCACCACACTCGGCTAATTTTTCAAATTTTTTGTAGAGATGGGGGGTCTCACCATGTTGCCCAGGCTGGTCTTGAACTACTGGGCTCAAGCAATGTTCTTGCCTTAGCCTCCCAAGTGCTGGGATTGCAAGTGTGAACCACTGTGCCAAACCAATAACAATTTTTTAAAAAAACAATTACCACATTTTTTGAAACAAAAAATTTGTGAAAAGAATGGCACTGCTTTGCATTTTTTGCAAATATTTTTAATGCTGGCTTAATTGAAGATAGCTGGATTCTCATATTTGCTTCACACATTCCATCAGCCATGAGAGCAATTACATCATCACACATCATGTAGCTTCTGGAAAACTCCACTGTACACTTGTGAAAAATGAGAGTAAAAAGGGCAATAATGTCTTAATATTACTATAAAAATACTTTTGACTTCACAGATACTCCCAGACCATATTTGGAGTAAACAGAACTAGAGTTCATGAAAAGCAAAACTATAAGCAGAGTAAGTATGAATTCAGTGTTAGAGAAATTGATTAATCAAAATAAAATAAGGAACTTAAAGAAAATTATATACTATGCTAAATTTCTGTACAATTAAACTAATTCATTCAGAGCTTACCAATTTAAAATTCATCATGATTTGCTTAGGAGCTCAAGTTAAGGTGGCTTAGGTCCGTGGTTCTCAAAGTGTGGTCCCAGGAGCAGCAGCATCAACAACTGGGATCTTGCTAGAAATGCACGTTCTCAGGCCCCACCCCAGAATTACTGAATCAGAAACTCTAGGGTAGGGCCAGCAATCTGTGCTTTAACAAGCGTTTTAGGGAATTTTGAAGAATGTTCAAGTTTGAAAACCACTGGCTTAGATAATCCTTTTTTCTTAGATCTTAGATTTTTTTTTTAATTTAGGAAAAGAATATTTTCCTAAGAATCCTTAAAAACAGTAAAATCATTCACTTGTAAAGAATACTTAAAATGATTACAGATTCATAAAAGAGGGTCCACTAAGGACATCTTAAGGTAACATCAGCTCAGTTCAAGTTATTAAAACAAATATAAACATAGCCAGGTGCGGTGGCTCACGCTTGTAATCCCAACACTTTGGGAGGCCGAGGAGGGTGGATCACCTGAGATTGGGAGTTCAAGACCAGGCTGGCCAACATGGTGAAACACTGTCTCTACTAAAAATACAAAAAAATTAGCTGGGCATGGTGGTGTGTGCCTATATAATCCCAGCTACTTGGGAGGCTGAGGCAGGAGAATTGCTTGAACCCGGGAGGCAGAGGTTGCAGTGAGAGGAGATCACACCACTGCACTCCAGCCTGGGCGACAGAGCGAGACTCTGTCTTAATAGATAAATAAATAAAACAAATACAAAAAATAAACTTACACATTTTTCTAGTTCATATTAGCCTTCTTTCTAAGTAATCATTTAATAAGATTTTACTATACATACTTTAAGGCAGGCCTACACAACTGAAATAGATGTGCTCTGTCTTGTGAAAATTATCACTTCCAGAATGTGTTTCCAGGTTCTTCGCTGCCAAAAAAGCCTTTTGAACTACATATAATAAAAGATTACAGCTTCTCCAAACATATTGTTATGGTTCTGATGCTGTTCTTAAATGTATAAAACTAGTATATGATACAGGTTTGTTTTGCCTTGTAAACCAAACATGCAATTATATTATTTTGTTTTGTTGAATAGGATTGAGAGACAACTTAGAAAATCTTTTCTCAAAGGAACCCTGGGGTTGGGCGCAGTGTCTCACACCTGTAATTCCAGCACTTTGGGAGGCTGAGGCAGGTGGATCACTTGAGGTCATGAATTCGAGACCAGCCTGGCCAACACGGTGAAACCCCATCTCTACTAAAAATACAAAATTAGCTGGGCATGGTGGCGCACGCCTGTAATCCCAGTTACTCCGGAGGCTGAGGCAAGATAATCACTTAAACCTGGGAGGCAGAGGTTGCAGTGAGCCAAGATCGTGTCACTGCACTCCAGCCTGGGCGACAGAGCAATACTGTCTCAAAAAAAAAAAAAAAAAGTAACTGCTGGAAGATGCTTTTGATGACTGGCAATGAGTACCCACAAAATTCCCACGTTAATGGCCACCTCTACCAAAAGAACCACAAGAAGGCAGGAATAGCTGTTCTTTGAATATTCATGAACCAAAAGAAACTTCTCCAAACCTGTGGTGTATTTTCCTTTCCATATCTGTTTTTCTTTTTTCTTTTTTTCTTTTTTTGAGACAGAATCTTGCTCTGTCACCCAAGCTGGAGTGCACTGGCACAATCATAGCTCACTGCAGCTTCAAACTCCTGAGCTCAAGTAATTCCCCCATCTCAACCTCCCGAATAGATAGGACTATAGGCGCACACCACCATGCATGACAGATTGGCTGCTTTAAAAAATGTTTTGTAGAGATGGGGTCTCACTATGTTGCCTAGGCTGGTGTCAAACTCCTAGCCTCAAGAGATCCTCCTGCCTCAGCCTCCCAAAGTGCCGAGATCTGTTTCTTTCTTTAATAATTCTTTCTGCAAACAAATATAAGTGCCACGTCTAAATACGCATCACTAGACCACTAGAAACTCTTGAAATTCCGCATTAGAGATTTAGAATGTGTATCAATACCTTGGTAATATCTGACTTCAAGACTTCCTCTAATTGATCCTTTAACTGAGCTGTCTCAAATTTAGGGACATAATTTTGCTCTTCACTCCTTGCAACCTGCTGTTTAAGTTTTGCATTCTCATTTTTTACTTCGTTGATTTGCTGCTGAAGTTTTATATTCTTCGTTCTTTCATTTTCAGACATAAATTGCAAATTTCTAACTTGAGTGAGCAATTTCTCAAGTCTAGATTTCAGTTTCTGTCTTTCTTCCAGGTTTTCCTTTTCAAGTTTCTGGAATTCCTCCTGTAAAGACAAGAACTCTTGTTCTTGGGCCTCTTTTTCCCGTTTCAACAAGTCCAAAGCAGAAGCTGTGGCCTTTTCCAGTTCTTTTTTGAGTTGTTGTAGTCTCTCTACCTCTTCTTCTTTCTTGCTTAAGGTTTTGTCCATCTCTAAATACTGACTTACAGATTTATTTTTTTGTTGCATTTCAGTCATGTACCTTTCCTGTAAACACACATAATTAGCCTTGATCTTCTTAAATTGAAGCTGTAACATTTCCTTGTCATTCCTGGATTCCTGAAGATGTTTTTGCGTGTTAGCTAAAACCTCTTCCAAATTCTGCAATGTCTTTTTAGTATCATTCTTCTCTAGGATTATTTTGTATTTGTCTTCAATTAATTCTTCAACATTCTCCTTTAGCTTATTGATGACATCAATGAACACTTGCTGTTTGGTAATCTTCATCTGTAGTTCTTTAACCCTCTTCTCTAAATACAGGTTACTACACTGGAGTTCTTGGATTCGCACTTCCTGCTTTCTGTTAGTATGTTTTAATTTCTGCAAGACTTCATTTAAAGCCATGTCCTCTTGAACAGGTTGTAAGCTTTCAGCACTTTGCTCCCAGTCAGGCATCTCACAGTTCTCCCGACATGCTTCACTCCTCCAGGAAATGCCTGCCGAAGACCAAGTTGAGACAATTTCTGGCCTCTCCACACCCTCTGCTGTGACTTCCTTTTCATAACTGACTGACATCTCAGGAATCTCCCCATAATTCTGTATTTCTTTTGAAGGAACTGCAGTCTGTAAATTATAGTAAACAAAGTAAGTGTGAACGAGTAGAAAGATAATGAGCTTTCAAGTCAAATAGGGCTGGCCTTGAATTCTATTAGTAGATCCCCTGTTTGGCTTTCTCCGCTATAAAGTAACAATAGTATCTACTTCCAATAATAATGCCTATTAACAAAAGTTAATACCTATGTATTAATTGCTAAATGTTTGTACAGCACCTAACAGCACAGCAGGGCACAGGCAGTAGGTATATGACAGATATACATCCCATTTACTTTGACAAAAGGAAAATTAAACTTTCATCCTCTTACCATTTTCTATTATGCAAACTTCTCTGAACACATATAAGATGCTTTGACTTCAAATAAATTCAGACAAATAAATGTATCAATTACCTTACAGACTGCAAGTTCTCTCTCTTTTTTTTTTTACATGTTATTACTGGGCCAAAAGTTTGGATTTTTAGGGGGGAAAGTTCTCTTCTCTTTTGAATATTTTTTATTCCACATTTAGACCATTATCTCATTATTCTGTGACTCTCAGGAACATTAGAATGGCAGAAGAACATGCCTCATGATTGACTTTATGCTGCCGATAGAGGTCTCGAGGAGGTTATAAAAAGACAGTAGGCCGGGCGAGGTAGCTCACGCCTGTAATCCCAGCACTTTGGGAGACTGAGGTGGGTGGATCACCTGAGGTCAGGAGTTTGAGACCGGCCTGGCCAACATGATAAAACCCCATCTCTGCCCAAAATACAAAAATTAGCCAGGCATGGTAGCACATGCTTATAATCCCAGCTACTTGGGAAGCTGAGTGAGGCAGCAGAATCACTTGAACGCAGGAGGTGGAAGTTGCAGTGAGCTGAGATCACACTACTGCACTCCAGCCTGGGCGATAGAGCGAGACTCTGTCTCAAAAAATAATAATAATAAAATAAACAAATAAAAATAAAAAAAGACAGTAATTTGTGGTAAGAAATGGTGAAATGAATATGACATTAAAAACCCAGGGCCGGGTGCAGTGGCTCATGCTTGTAATCCCAGTACTTCAGGAGGCTGAGGCGGGTGGATCATGAGGTCAGGAGATCAAGACCATCCTGGCCAACATGGTGAAACCCCATCTCTACTAAAAATACAAAAATTAGCTGCGCGTGGCGGTGTGCACCTGTAGTCCCAGCTACTCGGGAGGCTGAGGTAGGAGAATTGCTTGAACCCTGGAGGTGGAGGCTACAGTGAGCCGAGATCACGCCACTGCACTCCAGCCTGGGCGACAGAGCGAGACTCTGTCTCAAAAAAACAAAAAACAAACAAACAAAAAAAACAAAAACAAAACCCAGGCCAGGCACAGTGGCTCATACCTGTAATCCCAACACTTTGGGAGCCCAAGGTGAGAGGATTCCTTGAGACCAGGAGTTGGAGACCAGTTTGGGTAACACAGTGATACCCTATCTCTTCAAAAAAAATATTTTAAAAATCAGTCAGGTGTGGTGGCATGTGCCTGTAGTCCTAGCTCCTTGGGAAGCTGAGGCAGGAGGATTTCTTGTGGGCCATGATCACACTGCTCTCCAATCTGAGTAACAGAGCAAGACACCTTGTATCTAAAATAAATAAATAAGTAAAAACCCAGTAAAAGGTATCTGTAGTGGTGTGCTGTATAATTCTCTGGAATTTAGAGACAAGGACTTCTGTATTTTGTTTTTTGAGCTCATCCTTCTGCAGAACCTTGTATCTTAATGGTTTTTCATTGTTCTGGGATAAAGATAACTATCATTACTGAGACCTACAAGGCCCTAATATCTTGCTCTTGATATCTGCTGTGCTTTAAATGCATCCCCTAAAGTTAACGTGCCGGAAGCTTGATCCCCAATCCCCAGTGCAACAGTGTTGGAAGACGGGGCCTAGTAAGAGGTGAATAAAAATGACTAAATGTTGTTATCACAGGAGTGTGTTAGTTATCACAAGTGGATTTGTTACAAAAGTGAGTTTGGGGGCTGGGAGTGGTGGCTCACACCTGTAATCCCAGCACTTTGGGAAGCCGAGGCAGGTGGATCGCAACGTCAGGAGATTGAGACCATCCTGGCTAACACTGTGAAACCCTGTCTCTACTAAAAATACAAAAAATTAGCTGGGCGTGGTGGCACACACCTGTAATCCCAGCTACTGGGAAGGGTGAAGCAGGAGAATTGCTTGAACCCGGGAGGCGGAGGTTGCAGTGAGCCAAGATGGTGCCACTGCACTGCAGCCTGGGCGACAGAGCGAGACTCCATCTCAAAATAAATAAATAAATAAATAAATAAATAAATAAATAAATAAATAAAATAAAAGTTAGTTTGGCCTCCACTTGCTCCCTCGATCTCACCTTCTTTTGCCCCTCCACCTCCCACCATGAAATGACAGCACAGAGACCCTCGAGTGATGCTGGCACCATGGACCTAGCCTCCAGAACCGTGAGCCAGATAAATTGTTATTCATTATAAATTGCCCAGTCTGTGATATAGTTGCAGCAAGATGAAATGAACTAAAGCAGTATCTGACCCACACCACCTCTCTGTCTTCATCTGCTGTACCCCTCCTCCTTCCTCCAACTCTGATCTTCCTGGACTCAGGGCTTCCTTCAGGTCCTAGTAGGTACCATGCTTCCTGTGGCCACAGGGTTTGCAGACGTTCTTCCTTCTGTATGGAAGGCTCTCCTACCCATGGCTGCCTAATTAACTTCTACCCATCCTTTAGAGCTCAGCTCAATGATCATTTCTTCAGGGATGCCTTCCCCAGACTCCCTGATCAGGGTAGTGTCCTTATCATAGATGCCCAACCTACTTACATATGCAGCACTTATCATAGTTGCAAGTTTATCTGTAACTTGATATAGCATCATAGCATAAATAGTAACTTTATATAACATGCTCTACATATACTTTATATGTAACTTTATTCACCTTATTGATCTTATTATAGTTGCAAGTTCACATTTATTTGTGTGATTGATTAATGACTACCTCCTCTAGTAGGATGCTGTCTTCATGAGGACAAGAACTACATCTTTTTGTCTATTTTCTAACCATCACCTAATGTGTAGTACAGACCTGCCATGTAATAGATGCCTAAAAGTATCTATTGACTGAATGAAAAATGGCTAAATGCAATGAAAAGAGGAAAGAACAATCTTGCGAAACCCTATTTAAGCTGATTTTTAAAAGGTTGTTTTCCAGAAATCAACTTGGACAAATAAAGTCCTTTTAAATGCTGTCATCTACTTTCAAAAAAATGAAAATGCTCATACTTGTAAATAAGACATTATAGTCATAGTGTTTCCCATCAAACTCACATTGGAAAGGTATTATTGGCCAGGTGTGGTAGCTCACACCTGTAATCCCAGCACTTTGGGAGGCCAAGGCGGGTGGATCGGCAGTTCAAGACCAGCCTGGCCAACATGGTGAAAACCCGTCTCTACTAAAAATACAAAAAAAAATTAGCCAGGTGTGGTGGCACACGCTTATAATCCTAGCTACTCAGAAGGCTGCAGCAGGACAATCGCTTGAATCCAGGAAGCAGGGGTTGCGGTGAGCCAAGATCATGCCACTGCACTCCAGCCTGGGCAACAGAGTGAGACTCCGTATCAAAAACAAAACAAAACAACAAAAAAAGAGAAAAGGTATTACTTATACTATTCTTGAATTTTATCTATTTTCCCATACCAATTCCTAGTATTTTTAATTTTTTTGTTCAGAAAGTACACAGAATATATACTGTCGGTATCTTCAGTGCTCTTAGGATACTACATGTGTGCTCGGAATCAATAAACCAAATGATAAACTAATATTTTCACTTTAGTAGAAAAAGTAGTATTTTTTGCTTGTCAGTAGAATTCCAATATGACAGAGAAATCTTGTTTTTCTTGAAAAATGAATTAGTGCCTCTGCACTCCTTCCTCTTCTTGACCTTTCCATCAGTGTAAACTCTGCTACTTCCAGCCATTTTGATTCAACAAATATAAAAGCTTATTATATTCAGACTGCTCTGTCTACACAGTAGCCATTCTTTTGTTTCTTTACTTCTCTAATAAACTTGTTTGTGGTGAAAAAAAATTATGGTAAAAAAAGCTTATTATATTCAAGGAAACATATAGACGCTGTGGTGCATAAGAGGGTGAGTAAGACAGTCCTGATCCTTAGAGAAATTACCATTTGGTAGAGCTAATCCTCAAGTATGGACTTGATTTTACTAGAAAAATTTATTTCTGAATTGGCTAAGATCTCAGAATGCATTTTCCCCAGAGAAGCAAAGTCCCTCATGCTAACTAGGTGATTTAACACTACTTGGAAAAGTCTCAGATTATATATATATATATACAATTTTTAAAATGCATCCTTTAATACTCCACAGGCTTTACTGACCATCACAATCGTACCTCCTCTGCTTTATAATTAACTCTCAGATGAACTAGGTTAGAACTATTCTCTTTATCAAATGGTTTTACAATATTATTGTGTACACTTTCCTTACATAAGAAGCTTGGAGGTTGGCTAGGGTTGAGGGCAGATTCCTTGGCAATACTTTTAGCCAGTGACTTTTCTGTAAATTTCAGCATCTCTCCACTGCAGTGGATTAGAGGCGGGCTTCTAGGAGGAGGCTGTCTAAAATACTCGTTACCAAGTTGGTCTGTATTTGCAGAAACACTAGTTTCCATTGGATTTTCTTCCTTAAATGAGTCTTGCTTTATATTGTTGTCTTTTGCATAATTATACACTTGACTTTGAAATTCTGGCTTCTCTGTCATTTCATCATCAAATGCTTCTACCCAGTGAAATTTGCAAACGGTTTCAAATTGTCTCAAGGAAGATATGCTGATGGTGTCAACTGGCTGAATTAGTGCATTCGTTGAGTAATTTTCAATGTTGTTATCTCATAAGAAAGAGAAAGAAGGAAATAAAAACGAGTAGACCATGAACTTGGATGGTAACAGTTATATTTATATTTATCAAATAAACTGCTGTAGCCACTTAAAAATTATATATTATTTCAACCTTATTTACTGTGTGAATTTTAGCATGGTTTTGTGCTAGCAAACAAAACAAAACTTTTTACATGGGGGAAAGAAGTCCCCAAATGACTGCTAGGAAAAAGTGTGTTATATGTAATTCTGGTCAAATAAAATTACAATAAATTTCAAGAGATCTTCAAAATTCTTTTGTTGTACTGTAATTTTAAGATGTTTTAAATTATACAATGTTTCAAAAGGACAAGGATAGTATAATAGAAAACACATATAAACTTGCTTAATCTCACAAAAATCCCATGATGTCAGTACTGTTATTATCCCTATTTTACAGATAAGGAAACTGAAGTGTAAGAGATGTTAAAGTCACTTGTCCAAAGTCACAGAGCTGCTAAGCAGTGCTGCTGAGATTCTAGACTACTACTTCTAAATGCTATGCTATACTATTTTTCAATATGACAAATTATGCAGATGTAATGTTTTTTAAAATCAGGAGCAAATAAGAAAACAGAATGTTACAAATTATTGATCCCTTTTATCTAACTTTCCTCCTCCCCAGAGATAACCAGTGTACTGAAGCCCATATGTATTCATTCTTCCCATTCCCATTTTACTTTTACTACTGATTTATGTATCCTAAATAATAAAATCAACATAATCTTGCCAAAGAATAAAGTTCCCAGATTTCCTCATTTTGTGACACCCTTAATGTCTCAGTACTTTTTTTCACAGTACCTCTGGACCAAAAGGAATACTTAAGTTCCATTTAGTAAATAATTAAGTTCAAACTAGTATTTGTCCTAAGTTATTAGCTGTTTGAAAATACACATAAACTAAAAGAAAAATATAATATTTTATTCTTAAACAACCACACTTTACTACTTGGATGTACACTGTTAGGCACCGTACAGCACCTCAAATCGTGGAATCAGATTGGAGACCACCACTCTCACTTCCTATTCCACAATGATTTTCATACGGGACTTGCTTTTTATTATAGCAACCTCCAAAAACCTACCTTTACAAATAAGACATCATAGGAAGGACTATAGTATGGGTTTATAGTGAAAACTACAGCTAACAGATTGTGGGGGTCTGATAGATGTCCAGTGTCACTGTTTCCCTCAAACTCCAAAATACCCTGCAACACTTTAGGTGAGTGATTAATATATAGTATTGTTTTATGTGCTTTTATATTTTACATAAATAGCATCTCACTCTATCTATAGCCATATAAAAGTCTTGGACGCAGTGGTTTACGCCTGTAATCCTAGCACTTTGGGAGGCTGAGGTGGGTGGATCACCTGAGGTCAGGAATTCGAGACCAGCCTGGTCAACATGGTGAAACCCCGTATCTACTAAAAATACAAAACTTAGTGGGGCGTGGTGGTGCACATCTGTAATCCCAGCTACTCAGGAGGCTCAGGCAGGAGAACCACTTGAACCTGGGAGGCGGAGGTTGCAGTGAGCCGAGATCATGCCACTGCACTCCAGCGTGGGTGACAGTGCAAGACTCCATCTCAAAAAAAAAAAAAAGTCTTTATTTCACACAAAATTTTGCTTCTGAGGCTTAGCCACATATATACATATATATGTAGTTCATTCTACTGAAAGATTACACTTTATTCCTTTTTTGTTGGCTATTTAAGTTGCTTCTAATTTTGCCCTTAAAAACAGCACTGCAGTGAACATGTTTCCTTCTATGCCAATGTAAAAACTTTTGGCTAGGTTCTGGGGATACACCTAGAAGTGAAATTGCTGGATTATAGAAAATACATATCTTCAACTTTACTAGATATTGCAAAATTACTCTCCAAAGTGTACCAATTTATGCTTCTACCAGTAGCCTCTGGGTTCCTTTGCTCTACACATCTCTCCAAAACATGTCAAATTCATATGCATGAAATGGTATTTTACTGTGACCTTCTTAATGTACATCCTTTCATGTATTTAATGGTCTTACAGGTTTCTTTTTCTGTGATCTTCTTGTTGTATACTGTTATGGGCTCAATTGTGTGCCCCCAAAATTCATATGCTGAAGCTCTAACCCCTAGTACCTTAAAACATGACTCTTATTTGCAGACAGGGCCTTTAAAAAAGTAATTGAGCTTAAAAGAGGTCACAAGGGTAGGCCCTAATCCAGTATGACTGGTGTCCTTATAAGAGGAGGAAGAGACAGCAGCAAGGCATACACAAAGACAAAAGGCCATGTGAGACACTGCAAGAAGCTGGCCATCTGCAAGCCAGGGAGGGAGGCTTCAGTAGAAAGCAACCGTGCTGGCACCTTGATCTTGGACTGCCAGCCTCTAAGAATGAGAAAATCAATTTCTGTTGTTTACACTACCCAGTTTGTGGTGTTTTGTTATGGCAGCCCCAGTAAACTACTAATACATATACTTTGCCTGTTTTTCTATTACGTGCCTTTTTTTTTTTTTTGAGACAGAGTCTCTGTCACCCAGGCAGGAGTGCTGTGGCACGATCTCGGCTCATTGCAACCTCCACCTCCTGGGTTCAAGCAATTCTCATGCCTCAGCCTCCCAAGTAGCTGGGAATACAAGCGTGCACCACCATGCCCGCCTAATTTTTGTATTTTTAGTAGAGATGGGATTCCACCATGTTGGCCAGGCTGGTCTTGAAATCCTGACCTCATGTGATCTGCCCACCTCAGCCTCCCAAAGTGCTGGGATTACAAGTGTGAGCCACTGTGCCCGGCCTGAATTATGTGCCTTTTTCTTTTTTTTTTTGAGACAGAGTCTCACTCTGTCCCCAGGCTGGAGTGCAGTGGCGCGATCTCGGCTCGCTGCAAGCTCTGCCTCCTGGGTTCACGCCATTCTCCTTTCTCAGCCTCCCAAGTAGCTGGGACTACAGGCGCCCACCATCACACCCAGCTAATTTTTGTATTTTTGGTAGAGACGGGGTTTCACCGTGTTAGCCAGGATTGCCTCAATCTCCTGATCTCGTGATCCGCCCATCTTGGCCTTCCAAAGTGCTGGGATTACAGGCGTGAGCCACCGTGCCCAGCCATTATGTGCCTTTTTCTAAGTGACTTGTAGTTCTTTATTTTAGATACCAAATCTTTGTCAATTATACATATTGCATGTATCTTCACTCCATGCTTTTTACTTTATTATACTTTGGCCATACAGACGTTTTCTTAATGTAGTCAATGCATCGATTATGGATTGCATTTCTCCTGTCTTTTTTTTGAGACAGAGTCTCACTCTGTCACCCACGCTGGAGTCAGTGGCACGATCTCGGCTCACTGCAACCTTCGCCTCCCGGATTCAAGTGATTCTCCTGCGTCAGCCTCCTGAGTAGCTGGGACTACAGGCACGCGCCACTATGCCCAGCTAATTTTTGTATTTTTAGTAGAGGCGGGGGTTTCACCATATTGGCCAGGCTGGGTTTGAACTCCTGACCTCCTGATCCGCTTGCCTCGGCCTCCCAAAGTGCTGGGATTACAGGTATGAGCTACCGTGCCCAGCCCTGCATTTCTCATGTCTTAAGAAATCTTAGGCTGGGCGTGGTGACTCATGCCTGTAATCCCAGCACTTTGGGAGGCTGAGGCCGGCAGATCACAAGGTCAGGGGTTCAAGACCAGCCTGGCCTACATGGTGAAACCCTGTTTCTACAAAAACACAAAAAAACTAGCCGTACATAGTGGCAGGCAGCTGTAGTTTCATTACTCAGGAGGCCGAGGCAGGAGAATAGTTTGAACCCGGAAGGTGGAGGTTGCAGTGAGCCGAGATCGCTCCACTGCACTCCATCCTGGGTGACAGAGCGAGACTCCATCTCAAGAAAAAAAAGAAAAAGAAATCTTTTCTGTTGTCACAAAGGCATTTGATATGGTTTGGCTCTGTGTTCCCACCCAAATCTCATCTCCAATTGTAATCCCCACGTATTGAGGGAGGGACCTGGTGGGAGGCAATTAAATCATGGGAACGGTTTTCCCCATGCTGTTCTTGCGATAGTTGAGTTCTCACAAGATCTGATGGTTTCAAAGTGTTTGGCAGTTCCCCTGCCCCTCCTGTCGTCATTTAAGACATGCCTTGCTTCCTGTTTGTCTTGTGCCGTGATTCTGTTTCGAGGCCTTCCCAGTCATGTGGAACTGTGATCCAATTAAACCTCTTTTCTTTATAAATTATCCAGTCTCAGGTAGTTCTTTATGGCAGTGTGAAAACAGACTAATACAGCATTTTCTACACTTCTTTTATAAGTTAGAACTTTGCAGTTCACATGTAGGCCTTTACCCATGTGGACTTTATTTTGTATTTGGTGTGAGGTAAGGTTCTAATCATTTTCTGCATTGAGAGAGCCAACTGTTCCAGCACAACCAAATGAACACCCCCACTGGTTTATAATGACACCTCTATCAAATACCAGGTGTCCTCATATATAAATGGGTCTACTTTTGGACTTTGTCTTTTATTTATCCCACTGGTTTGTTACCCTTCTGCCTATAATACATTGTTATAATTACTATAACTAATAACTCTTGTTATCTAGCAGGGTAAGTCTCCACATCTTCTTTTTCAAAATTGTATTGGGTATTTTTTTTAACTTTTTCACTTCTGAATGGGGATGTTAGGATTAAGGTAGGATACATGAAATTGCATTAATCAATAGACTTCAGGAAAACTGACATCTTTACAATCTGAACATGAAACATTTAATTATTTTTTATGGCCTCCAGGAAAGTTTTATAATGTTTTTTAATGGAAACTTACACTTTTTGTTAGATTTATTCTTAGGTACCTTAGTTTGTGCTGTTACTGATAATAGTAAGTTTTTAAGAATTACTGTTTTACATTTGTTGTTGCTAGTGCATTGAATGCTATTGGTTTTTTAATATTAATTTTATATCTAGCTTTCTTCTAAACTTTCTTATTAGTTTTAATAGCTCATCTGTAGGTGCTTATGACTTTTCTATGTAGAAAAGTACATATTTGCAAATAATGATAATTACTTCTCTTCCTTTCTAATCCTTATAGCACTTATTGTCGCCCAGGCTGGAGTGCAGTGGCACCATCTCGGCTCACTGCAAGCTCCACCCCCTGGGTTCATGCCATTCTCCTGCCTCAGCCTCCTGAGTAGCTGGGACTACAGGCGCCCACCATCATGCCCGGCTAATTTTTTGTATTTTTAGTAGACACGGGGTTTCACCATGTTAGCCAGGATGGTCTCGATCTCCTGACCTCGTGATCCGCCTGCCTCGGCAGCGCTTATTTTTCTTACACCTGCATGTATTAAATTCCATAATTTCAATAAGCCTTGTCAAATCTTTTCATTTTAGTATTATTTGCAAGTATTAAAAATAAAGACATTTGTATACAGCATTTAGATTTACTTTAATAAACATGATCAGTGTAGGGCCCGGTGTGGTGGCTGATACCTGTAATCCCAACACTTTGGGACACCGAGGCAGGAGACTCACTTGAGCCCAGGAATTTGAGACCAGCCTGGGCAGCATAGTGAGATCCATTTCAAAAACAAAACCAAAAACATGATCAATGTATCTCATTATATGATTAAATCCTAAATAGCTTTCATCTGTCAATTTAGGATTAGAATAACAGATTTGGGGTTAAATCAACACACAGCTCTCTTTTTTTTTTTTGAGACAAGGTCTCACTATGGTTGCCCATGCTGCAGTGCAGTGGCGTGATCTCGGCTCACTGCAGTCTCAGCCTCCCGCGCTCAGGTAATTCTCCCACCCAGGCCTCCAAAATGGACCACGATGCCTGGCTAATTTTTTGTATTTTTAGTAGAGACGGGGTTTCGTCCTATTGCCCAATCTGATTTCAAACTAGTGGACTCAAGCAATCCTTCTGCCTTGGCCTCCCAAAGAGCTGGGATTACAGGTGTGAGCCACTGTACCTGGTGTTTTTTGTTTGTTTTGGTTTTTTTTGAGATGGAGTTTCGCTCTTGTTGCCCAGGCTGGAGCGCAATGGTGCAATCTCGGCTCACAGCAACCTCCACCTCCTGGGTTCAAGGGAGTCTCCTGCCTAAGCCTCCCAAGTAGCTGGGATTACAGGCATGCACCACCACACTCAGCTAATTTTGTATTTTTACTGGAGACGGGGTTTCTCCATGTTGGTCAGGCTGGTCTTGAACTCCCGACCTCAGGTGATCCACTTGCCTCAGCCTCCCAAAGTGCTGGGATTACAGGCGTGAGCCACCGTGCCTGGCCCCCGCTTTTTTTTTTTAAGAGACAGGTTCTCCTTCTGTTGCCCACTGGAGTGCAGTGACATGATCATAGCTCATAACAGCCTTGGACTTCCTGGCTCAAGCAATCCTCCTGCCTTGGCCTTCCAAAGCACTGGTATTATAGATATGATCCACCACACCCAACCTCAATACACATTTAAGGATACTTGTATAGTAGAAAATTTTTGTGTCTGAGTCTGAGACTTGATCACGGCTCATTCATTTAAAGCTACACAATCCTGGGCAAGTTACTCTCTGAGCCTTATTTTCCTTATCTGTAAAATGAAGATAAAAACAGCCCTTACTTCAATTTTTTAAAATTCTTATTTCAATAAGATTTTTTTGTGGATTAAGTGTGATGATGTATATAAAGTGCTTAGCACAAAACCTGGCTATTGTTACTATCACGGAACACAAAAAAAAGTTTCTCTCTTTTGCATATTGCTAACAAGTAGATACTTACCATTTAACAAATTGTCTAGTGTGCCATAAGCATCTTCACAAAGTGTGGATTCATACTCATTTTCCCTTTCAAAATTCTTTATTTCGTTCTGTATTAATAAAAAAGGCATCAATACTTCAAGCAAACATCACAAGCTTCTTCTAAAGGTATTTGCACATTGTTACATAATTCTGCTATTAGAATATTTCATTACATAGGTAGAATGTGCTTTCTAGTATCTTTCCCCAGCATGTATTTGGCTCCCTTTTAGTAAAACTATGCTAACAGAGTCCCAATATTAAACAACAATGTAACAAATAGCTTGTTATTTTAATATTTTGGTTTTTTGGTAAGTCAAATCATGTGACTATAAACTTAGGGATACGTGATAGCATATTTATGTATTGATAATTATTTGATGTTTATTAAATCTAGTCTAAACAGCATTAAGATGGTTATTTCAGTCTTTTAACACTGAAGATATATAAAACAGGCATATATCTTTGATGTATTTTTATAAATTCCTATTTAGTGGAATCAGATGTCACTGACTATCAAACGTTTAGCACAACACTCATGAAGATATTGGGACATTACAATCTTTTATTTTTTAATAAAGGGAGCTAGGCATTTTCATGAAGACAGGAAAGTTGTCATTTATATGCAGGGTGCTGTCAATGTCATTATGAATGACAACTGAATCATTTGCATACTGATGTAAGTGGAAGATGCATTAGACTAGAAGTCAGGTTCCTTGGGCTCTTGTCCTGCCTCTGACTGAATTGGTCACGTCCCCTGGCTGCACTCCTGGCTAGAAAGGATCAGTTTTAACACTGTGTGTAAAAATGTACCTTGCTCTCTCGCATAGGCTGGAGTGCAGTGGCGCGATCTTGGCTCCCTGTAACCTCTACCTCCCAGGTTCAAGTGATTCTCCTGTCTCAGCCTCCAGAGTAGCTGGGATTACAGGTGCTCGCTTCCATGCCTGGCTAATTTTTATATTTTTAGCAGAGATGGGGTCTCACCATGTTGCCCAGGCTGGTCAAAATGTATCTTACGCTAGCGAAACTGGGAAAACCAGACCCTGTATTCCCCTCCTTTATGTGTCCACCGAATATTGTTTTATTGTTCCTTATAGTTTTGAAGAAATTTTCATATGGAAGACAATGTGAATTCTGAATACATCTGAGCCTCCTGGAACTTATAAGCAATGCACACCTGAGGCAAGTCACAAGTGGTGCCGGTGGTTTCCATACAGATTGGAGAATGTGAAAGCATTACACCTTGAGAAAGATTGCTGACATTCATGGTATCCGATTCTGACATGCTTTCTACTTTTTCATGAGAAGTATCCACTTCAAAATGTACAGGATCTGAAGGTGATGACCAAAATTTTTGATAGTCCTTGTTCATAACTGTTGAACAATAGAAGACTTCTTTAAAAAAAAAATGTGTCTATTAGTAGGTATAAACAAAAAGTTTTTTCCCTATCCCTCTTCTCATTAAGAAAGTAGCAAAGTTCACTGCCCTTATTTGAAATGTCATTTGTCAAGTTATTAGAAAAATTAAAAATTTTAGTCTGAGTATACCGTAATTTGGTATGGTAGTAAATACTGATTTGGAGAAAAACAAACAGTATTGGCTACTATCCAATAACTCCCTAGAAGGCTTTGGACCTAGAAGTGAAGGGATCTCTGTGTTATTTAATCAAGGATATTTACAAAATATTATCAGAGACCTAATAGTTTCCACAAAATCCTGGATTTTTATTTACTTGATACCTTCCACTTGAACACCTCACTACCAAGTCAAACCCAGCATTGTAACTGTTTTCCCTCCTCACTTTCCTATACTGCGCCTATTCCCTCAGGTACATGTGTTTGAAAACTGGACTTGTCTTGGCATCCCTCTACCTCATCATGCATGGCTATTCAGATACCAAGTCCCGTCCATGTCTCCTTTAAAAATGTCTTTCAGGGCCGAGCGCGGTGGCTCACGCCTGTAATCCCAGCACTTTGGGAGGCCGACGCGGGCGGATCACGAGGTCAGGAGATCGAGATCATCCTGGCTAACACGGTGAAACCCCATCTCTACTAAAAATACAAAAAAAAAAAAAAAAAAAAATTAGCTGGGCGCGGTGGCGTGTGCCTGTAGTCCCAGCTACTCTGGAGGCTGAGGGAGGAGAATGGCGTGAACCCCGGAGGCAGAGCTTGCAGTGAGCCGAGATGGCCCACTGCACTCCAGCCTGGGTGACAGAGCAAGACTCCATCTCAAAAAAAAAAAAAAAAAAAAAAAGTCTTTCAGTAACCTGTGCTTTCTTTCCATCCCATGTTGCCACACTGGTCCATATTCTCCTGACTTCCTCAGGCCTGTCCAGAGCTCCAGAGCTGAGAGTGGAAAGGATGGCCACTCACATTGATTCTATAAATTTTTGTCCTTCCAGGCCATCCATAGCCTGGAGTGACATCCCCTACCCGGTACTCCCCTGCTCTACTCAGATCAGGCTCATTTCCCTGCAGACAGATAATGTTCCTTACGAATTAAGCTTCAGTCATCTGCCCTGGCACGTGCTTCTCTCCTAAAACCTTCCCATCTACCCATTCATCTATTTTCAAAATTCCTACAATGTCTTCAGTCTCTAAATCTCTATCTTACAATTCAGCACTTGGTGATTTCGTTTACTGTTTTAGAGCTTCACCACTGTTTCAAGGGTGTTAGTGTTTGTGTTTACAGATCATAAATGTCTTGAGAGGAGCATACTTAGGGCTTTCCAATATCCCCTACTGCAAATGGACCAGTGCTGTCTACACAGCAAATATTGATTGAATAAAACCTGCATTCCAATGACTTATTTCTATCAAGCTCTTTCAATTTATAGTCATTACTCATCTGCCTGGATTCTTTTATTGAATTTCTGAATGAATAGTTTATTGAAAATTAGTTGTTTTCAAACCTATGTCATCACTTGGTAAAATATAAAAAAGTAAGCCAAGCAGACCAGTCAGGATCAGTGAAAGGCCCAACTTTATGCTCACTTCTCCCTTGTCTTTCAAATAATGCTGCCTGGATTGTGGTGAGATCTGAAAAATTCTTGCTTTGTTTTCCCAATGCAAAAAAGCGCAAAGGCCTTGTTTCTTAGTTTTCTTGTTTGTGAACCCAGCACTTCCAATTACATTTCTACAACTTTGTTCATCCCTCATGTGGCACTGCACAATCTGCCAGTTTACCTTTTTAATTTAAAGTTAGACTATTTTTTCCATCTTTCATTTGTCCTTACAGGTTTATGTTGGATTTTTAACATATTTATCAAATGTTTGAATAGATGTTCCAGAGACATTCTAAAGCTGTTTTAAGATAGGAGTTAAAAGAGGTGTCACGGGAGTTACTCGCAAAAACTATAGTTTTGTTTAAAAGCTTTTTCAGTTGTAAGACAAACTTTACCTTTTTAAAAAGCACTTATCTCATTCATTTTTCACCTCAAAACGAGACACCAAACTTTTTAAGACACAAAAGTGTGCTCACTTCCAGGATCCATAGTTTCTTGGACCCACGCTACGGACCTGGCTCTCCCTCCCTCTGCACCGGGTTTTGTGGGAGGGAGAACGCTTTCCAACCTCCTCCACCAAGGACTCTCACAAACTCGCAATCGGGCTCCCGGAGTGCTGGAACGCCCCTGTGTGACGTCCGCCCGCGCCGGGGGAACTCCGCAGAGACAGGTGCAGCCCGCGAGGCCCGAGCGACCCTACTGTGGGTGCGGTGTCTTCCCAGAGAGTGGTGAAGTTAGGAAGGTACGACCCCCTAGGCCGAACAGCCTGTGGGCTAGCTGGCGCCTCCTGCCGCAGTAAACACAAAGTGGGGTACAGAAACGAAAACTCCGGGAAGAAACGGCCAGCACGGGCCTCGCCGTGCCGGCTACTCAACACGCCTTCCTGAGAGCACAGAACATCCACAGCCCTATACAGCGCGCCATCCAGAGAGCTCCGGACTCCCAGCTCGGCGCAGGGGCGGGACTTCCGCTCAAGTCAGACTTCCGGGCGAGGCGGTGAGGGGCTTCCGGTTGGGGTGGCAGGGTGGTGGATCTGTCGGTCCCGTTTTCCCGTCGCACGTGGTGGCCACTGTTGGCTTCTGAATGGTTTGCAAGGCGGATATCCACGCCAAGGCCTTTGGATCGGCCGTGGGTACATCCGTCTGAGCCGTTCCTTTCCATCGCAGAGCGGCGGCCTCCGGCGGCGCTCTCCAGTCATGGACTACCGGCGGCTTCTCATGAGCCGGGTGGTCCCCGGGCAATTCGACGACGCGGACTCCTCTGACAGGTAGGCGGCCGTACAGTGCCCTGGCTCTGGGTACGGCTCTCTCCTTGACCGCCCCCTTGGGGTGTGGACTCTTGTTTGCGGTTTAGAGGGAGACTAGTGGTTCATCACTCAGCGTCTCTCTTGACAACCCTTTGCCTGTTTCTGCATCCCAGCTGGGTTTTTCTCCCAGTTCACGCGGCAGAGTTAAGTGAAAGCTACTTGTCAAGGGAGTCTGCGGTTCTCAGGTCGGTTAGCGTCACTGGGAGGCAGAGTTGGGGATAGCGATTAGGAAACATGGGTTTTTGCGTTTTAACCACATTTAGCGTTCAACAAATACTTACTAAGCACTTAATATGTACCACGTTCTGTCCTGGGCGCCGGAGGTAACAAGAAGAACCAACTTCCTGCTGTCATGGAACTTTACCTTCTACGTGAAAGAGAGGGCACACCATTTAAAAACCAAATAATGATGTAGACTATGCAAATCGTTTGATATACCAAGTGGTGACTGAATGGGTAGGGAAAGGTTAAGTCCAGATTTGAATGACAAGGAGCTAATCCTGGCAAGAGCAGAGGGAACAGCATTTCACACAGAAGGGACAGCAAGAGCAAAGGCCCCGAGGCCAGAGTGCCTAGAGCACAGTGGAGGTAGTTGAGAAGATTGGTAGGGTGATAGAGAAGTAAGAAGGGGGGCCAGATCATGGAGACCTTTACAAGTGATGGTGAAAAGTTCAGATATTAATGTGGGTCTTATGGAAAGCCATAGGAGGGATTTTAGCAGAAGAATGACATTATTTGCTTGGTGATTTAAAGGAATCATTCTTTCTAGGTAGATGATGTTCATGGAGGGTGGGAGTGGAACAGAGAGACCAGTTCAAAAATAATAAGGTAATCAGATTCAAAGATGGTGGGGACTAGAGCCCAGATCCTAAAGATATGTCTTGGAGGTAGAAGTGGCAGCGTTTGGTGGTAGACTGGACGTGGAGTCTGGGGAAAGAGGGATGAAGGATAACTCCTGCCTAAAAGCAAAATGAAACATATTGGAGTTATTTTGGAATTCCAAGAAAACAGCTTGTACTTTATGTTTACAGTAAGGATTCATCACATGCGGATTTTGTTAATTATTGGGGATGTTTTCAATAAATATATGTATGTTGAATGCTTTCTGTGAGTCAGATCTAGTCTTAGGTGGTAGGGAGGCATTGGTAAATACCATCCTGAATGACACAGAGCTTGCACCCTAGCAGGGGAAACCGATATTATTAAATAATTAGACTATTTGTATTCGAATTGGGTAAGTAGTACAAAGGAGAAGTGGGGGAAAAATAGGGAAGACTTCCTTGAGCAAGTGATAGTGAGCTGATACTTGATGGATGAGTAGGGGTTAGCCAGAGAAAGAGGAAGGGCATTCCAGTTTTATGGTTACGGAGAAGTGTACAAAAAGCTTTAGAGAAGAAAAGCAGCAGAAGAAACACAGCCAGCATAGCTAGTGGGTAGTTAATGGTAATGAGAGGGCACTAATTTACCATCCACCCCAGGGTATTGTAAGGATACACCAGTGATTTTCCATTGGGGAAGATGTTGCCATCCCGACTTCTACCCAGGGGACTTTTGGCAATTTCTGGAGACGTTTTTGTATGTCACAGCTGGGGGTGGTGGTACATTAGTGGCATCTGGTAAGTAGAGGCCAGAGATATGCTGCTAAAAATCCTACAGTGCAGAAGACAGTCCCCCACAACGAAGAATTATCTGGCAAAGTTACAACTTTAACATGCCACTCTAGGCAATTATATATCAATCTGTGGAGCATATGTATGAAGTCCTGGTAAGTAGCAAGTGTTTGATGATTGTCTGTTTTCTTCCTCCACATGTCCACGGGGAACCCTCAGAGCCATGGCTAATTAATAAATTGGGATTGATAATCTGAATTTACTTAAACTCGTCTGTTTTTCAGCTGGTATCTCATATTATCAGCTGCTTTTTTATGGTTTCTGTCCTTTTCTGTACATGAGAGGTAAAAACTGAGTCCTCTGTTGAATTTGGCCTGCAGACATGTTTTGTTTGGTATGCACAATTATTTGTAAAAATTGACTATGCCAGTGAAGGGATAGATTTTACACAGAAATCCAGACTTACAGCTTCACTTGAAAAATTAAGATCTGGTAACACTAGGCCTGAATTCTAATATGGCAAAAAAAAAAAAAAAAAAAGCCCTTACTGGTTGTGCTCCCTTTACCTTGGACCTCTTCTCCCAGTTTGCCAGTCCCCACTTCTATTGTGCAGCCTACTTCTCTCATTTGTAGTGCCTGGTCCCTGTATTCACCATTTCTTCCCATCATGAACAGGGATGATTTGGATTTCTTTGTGGAACACAAATCTTGATGTAACTTCTTTTATTGCAAAGTGTTATCGAGTTCAAAGTAAGACTGCCTTAGACTTATTCCCAAATTTTTTGTCAGAAAGCTTTTTTTTTTTTTTAATTACAATTTTTTTTAGAGACAGGGTTGCCCAAGCTGGAGTACAGTGGCACGATCATGACTCACTGCAGCCGTGAACTCCTGGGCTCAAGCAATCCTATGGCCTCAGCCTCCCGAGTAGCTGGGATCAAAGGTGTGAACCGCTGCACCAGCCTTTTTTCCCCCTTTCTTTTTTCTTGTTTTACAGAAAGATTTTCCTAGAGATTTTCTAAAGCAGCTCTGCGAATGATTTTCCTAGAGTCAAGTCTGGTATACTGGTCTGAGTTGTTTATTCAGCAGAGAAGATAACAATATAATTTCTAACTTTAACAAGGCAGAAGCAGATTTAACTTGATGTGCTTCTTGAATAGTAGGCTTTGGGCATGGAGAATGAGCAAACAACTGCAACAGAACTGGAAAACAGGAGAACATGGTTTTAAGGAGATGGAGCTTATCGGAAGGTGTATTTTATATAAATATATAATCTTTTAGATTTATCAATATTTTAATATCTTACATCATAAATATGTGAGATCAGTTAGGGTATGTGGAAATATTGTTATGAAATAATAAAACATTGTTATTTCTAGTGAAAACAGAGACTTGAAGACAGTCAAAGAGAAGGATGACATTCTGTTTGAAGACCTTCAAGACAATGTGAATGAGAATGGTGAAGGTGAAATAGAAGATGAGGAGGAGGAGGGTTATGACGATGATGATGATGACTGGGACTGGGATGAAGGAGTTGGAAAACTCGCCAAGGGTTATGTCTGGAATGGAGGAAGCAACCCACAGGTATTTTATAAAGGATCCTGCACATCTTTATGTAGTCTGCTTATGTCTACTTTTTTAAAAGGCTGTTTTGTGATTCTGAAATTGAATAACTAAAAGATTTTCTTCATGTTATATTGTCCTGTAGCCTCAGCCTTTACTGATTTTCACTTTTCATCCTTTCTGTATTTCTGATAATTTCCTGGGTGTGGATTCTTTCCAGAATCTGTAAATTTAAAAAGAGTTATAAAGATTGTGAGCTTAAAATCTTCATGGGAAAGGGCATGGATTGGCAGTTTACTACAAATAGTTAAGAAACATGGTAAAAAAGTTCAGCCTCATTGGTAATTAAAGAAATGCAGATTAAATTTGTAGAGATGCCGTTTTTTCACCTGTGAAACTGTTAAAGACAAAACATATCATTGATGGTCAAGTAAATAGGTGCACTTACTTGTAGGATAAGCTGGTATGTGATAAAAACTTTAAAAGCTTCAAAATACTTTGACTTAGCGATTCTGTGAGTGTGCCAAGACTTAGTTACAAGAATGATCCTCCAGGATTGTTTATGGTAGAGGAACATTGGAAGCAACCTTGAACGGGATTAAACCTGCTATGGGACTGATTCGCACAATGAGGCATTATACAGCCATAAAAGATGTTGTAATGGAAGACTGTATTAATGAGATAGGAATATGTTTGTGATTATTTACCATGTACAAAAAAAAGTTACCAAACCACGTACAGCTGCTGCTCATACTGGAAGTACCAAGTGTGTTAGGAGTTTGTAAGGCCATAGGATTAACATGGTACATCTTCCTGGAGCATAAAGGTTAATCCAGCAGTCTTCCTTTGACCATTAAAATGGCTATATCGGCTGGGCGCAGTGGCTCCTGCCTCTAATCCCAGCACTTTGGGAGGCCGAGCTGGGCGGATCACCTGAGATCAGGAGTTTGAGACCAGCCTGGCCAACATGGCGAAACCCTGTCTCTACTAAAAACACAAAAATTAGCCGGGCGTGGTGGTGGGTGCCTGTAATCCCAGCTACTCGGGAGGCTGAGGCTGGAGAATCGCCTGAACCCAGGAGGCGGAGGTTGCAGTGAGCCAAGATCACACCACTGCACTCCAGCCTGGGCAACAGAGCGAGACTCTGTCTGTAAAAAACAACAACAATAAAATGGCTATATCATGGACCAGAATGTGTGCATTTTAAAATAACCACATTGTGAGTGACGACAAATTTTGCATTTTTATATCGTCTTGTTCTGGTGACTCCTTCACTGATTCATAATGAGGCTTTGAGCAATTTCATTATTGAAGTTTGCGCATAGCACCAGCGTAAGTGCTGAGCCTCGTACTTAATATTTCCCTCTCTTGAGACATTGGGCCCAAAATGAAATTCTGAACCAGCTTAATGCTGGTCTTAGCTCTTTATTATATACTTTGGGGGTAAATGAACATTCTCAAATTTTAAGTCTATAAACCAGTCAAATTAGAAAACTACACTTAATTTTAATCTGTTACTTATAATAAGAGGAATCATAGAGAAGTTAAAAAAACGGATTATGCAGACTCTTTTAGTCAGTAATTTTAACCTTCTGTTTCAAATGCTCTTTAAAAAATTTTTTGAGCCAATTTGATTGACTCTTACCTTTCCTTAAGATACTCCTCTAAGTATTGATGCTTTAATAGCTAAGTATGAACTAAGGAAATGTGATGATGAATCTTAGGTTTGTTTTTACAGCTAGTGCCTTAGACTCTGGAATTCCCTTCTAGGCAAATCGACAGACCTCCGACAGCAGTTCAGCCAAAATGTCTACTCCAGCAGACAAGGTCTTACGGAAATTTGAGAATAAAATTAATTTAGGTGAGTTTACAAAATACATCACTGGGCTAAGAGGACATTTTTCAAAAACCATGGAGTGTTGTATAATTTTATTAGATCAAGAAATGAAGGCTGGCCGTGGTGGCTCACGCCTGTAATCCCGGCACTTTGGGAGGCTGAAGTGGGTGGATCACCTGAGGTCAGGAGTTTGAGACCAGCCTGACCAACATAGTGAAACCCTATCTCTACTAAAAATACAAAATTAGCTGGGCGTGGTGGCACATGCCTGTAATCCCAGCTACTTGGGAGGCTGAGGCAGGAGAATCCCTTGAACCTGGGAGGTGGAGGTTGTGATGAGCCGAGATTGTGCCGTTGCACTCCAACCTGGACAATAAGGGCAAAATTCCATCTCAAAAAAAAAAAAAAAGAAAAAAGGAATGAATGTATTCAAGTGTTACTAACTCAATAATGTTTAGAGAAAATAAAAATCGTAATTTAAAAACATAACTTTAGGAAAAGACTTAAGCTTATGCTATTTTGGTTGTTTTCCCACTTGCCATAGGAATGTAATGTTACAAAAACCCATTTAAGTATTGTCTGTTCGGTTTTAGGTTTTTTTTTTTTTTGAGACAGGGTCTCACTCTGTCACCCAGGCTAGAGTGCAGTGGCACGATCTTGGCTCACTCCAACCCTGATTTCTGGGGTTCAGACGATCCTCCCACCTTAGCCTCCCAAGTAGCTAGGACCACAGGTGCACACCACCACACCCGGCCAATTTTTATTTTCTGTAGAGACGGGGTTTCTCCATGTTGACCAGGCTGGTTTTGAACTCCTGAGCTCAAGTGATCTGTCCGCCTCAGCCTCCCAAAATGTTGGGATTACAGGTGTGAGCCACTGCGCCTGGCCTGTTTTAGATTTTGTAATAGGGTTATCTCATAGTAGGATGTTGAAAATACTAGAGTATTGAATATAGTTACATACGGTTTCACTAGAGGTTTTTTGTGTAGGTGTTAATTATTTAGTGACCTGTTCGATGCCAGGCATCAGAATGTTAATTTGAATCATCATCTCATAGAAAATGTAAGAGGGATGGAGGGAAGGAAGGAAGGCCATCTTTCTATTCTTGTGGATCTTCACTCTAAACCTAACACAGTGTTTCTCATATAAGCTGTCAATACATGCTAAATTAATATAAGTATTTTAGGGCCTTCTTTGCCTATCATAGACTTATAACTTGAAGTGAAACAAGTTTTTAGAATTAAACTTGAAATTCAGGCAGTTTTATTAGTCATGTGGAGTACTAGCAAGTGTCTGAAATTTATTATGCAAATTATTATCTTTGAAGAATTTCTGCATCTAGAATTCTGTGGCTCAAATATTATAGCTGTAGTGATGAAAGTGACACTTACGAAGGAAACGCAGTTTAGTGCCTACTTTTAAAAACATTACATTGTTTTCATTACTAAACTGTATTCTATTTACAATAAAACATTTAGAAAGTGTAGAAGAGAAGGAAGAGGGGAGAAATACCCTGTTCAGCAACTCTGTTAATGTCTTTTCGTCTTACATATTGTTTACATTGTGGGTTTCTTGTATTTTAGATAAGCTAAATGTTACTGATTCCGTCATAAATAAAGTCACCGAAAAGTCTAGACAAAAGGAAGCAGATATGTAAGTAATATTTTAATAATATGCATGGGTGATAAGGACTAATCTAGATTAAGCAGCACCTTGATCATAATTCTTTTACAGAGGATGTTCATTTGTATACTTAAACCAATCATTATTTTGGTGTGTGTGTGTGTGTGTGTGTGTGTGTTTTCCTTAGCTTAAATTAGGATAACCTATGCCTTTGTGAATTAAAAATATTAATGAATCTTGGCTGGGTGTGGTGGCTCATGCCTGTAATCCCATCACTTCAGAAGGCCGAGCTGTGGGGATCACTTGAGGCCAGGAGTTTGAGACCAGCCTGGCCAACATGGTGAAACCATGTCTGTACAAAAAATACAAAAATTAGCCAGACATGGTGGTGCACGCCTGTAATCCCAGCTACTCAGGAGGCTGAGGTGTGAGAATCTCTTGAACCTGGGAGGTGGAGGTTGCAGTGAGCCAAGATCGTGCCACTGCACTCCAGCCTGGGCCACAGAGCGAGACTCCATCTCAAAAATAAATACATAAAATAAAAATTAATGAATTTTAAGAAATACATGGTAAAAGTGTAATCTCATGAAATTTACAAATGTGTTCTTATGAGGGGAACAGTGTTTGTAGATTTCAGTTTAAACTAAAATGTGCAAAAATGTTCCCTTAAAATTTATTAAGAATTATTCTTTCCCATGAAGTATTTTTAAAAATTTAAGGGAAGACTATGAACTAATGATATAACTGAGAACTGTTTCTGTTTACACTTCTGTTCTCAAAGCCAATTGTTTAAGATCTGAATAACTTCTCTTATATGCTAATAACTCTAAAGTATTATCACTATATTATAGAAAACGACACTAAGATCATACAACTAACTGTGAGAATTGAACGTAAAAGCCAGCTTTCTTCCAATTTATTGCTATGTCCAAGAGGTATCAGCTTTTTGAGATACACCATAGTTATTTGTTATTTCACTGGTATCTGTTTGAATCTTTGTGTTTAAACCTTTATTAGTTTAGGTTAGTGTGCTAGGTGGAGTCACTCAGTGTATAAGCAGAAGCAAATCAGAGTCTGCATTTGAATACTGTCTTGAAACGATTTTAAAAAACAAAACTGCCAGGTGCAGTGGCTCACGCCTGTAATCCCAGCACTTTGGGAGGCAGAGGCGGGCGGATCACAAGGTCAGGAGATCGAGACCATCTTGGCTAACAAGGTGAAATCCTGTCTCTACTAAAAATACAAAAAAATTAGCCGGGCTTGGCGGCGGGCGCCTGTAGTCCCAGCTACTCGGGAGGCTGAGGCAGGAGAATGGCGTGAACCCGGGAGGCAGAGCTTGCAGTGAGCCGAGATCGTGCCACTGCACTCCAGCCTGGGCGACAGAGCGAGACTCCATCTCAAAACAAACAAACAAAAACAAAAACAAAAAAACTTGTATCTTCTTAGAAAATGCCTCTAAACAGAAAGCCTTGTAAATGACTAACTCTATGTGGAGGCTGGGGCAGGAGGAATACTTGAGCCCAGGAGTCTATGCCTAGCCTGGGCAACATAGTAAGATGCTGTCTCTTTAAAAAAAAAAAAGAAGACAAGACTTTAATTGTGTGCTAACAGAATCATTAAAGATGTGAAGGACAGTACAAATATACTCAATGTTTTCTCTTTTTCAGCATAGTTCACTTTACCCTGGCGGCTCTTTGATGCTTCTGAAATAGGAATAGATTTTTCTTTTTACTGTATACATACTCCTTTTGCCAAAATACAGAATTGAATTTTGGTATTCAGGGGAAATGAAGAAAGTTTCACTGAGTAATGAAAAATCTACAATCATATCATAAAATCTGTTATTTAGAGAAACTACCTACTTAGGAATTTTCATGAAATTATCTACATTTAGAAGATTTTGGCTTCTCACTGAATTTTGAATGTGTCAACTATACGTTTTTGTTTTTGGTTAGGTATCGCATCAAAGATAAGGCAGACAGAGCAACTGTAGAACAGGTACAATTTAAATGTGTTGCAAACTCTTCTTTTTAATTAGCATTTCTTCTCTCTTTGAATTGTAGTTTGCTTTTATCCTTTTTGCTTAATGCTAATGTTACCTAAAATTACTCCTATATAAAATTATTCCTTTTTATAGTTTCGAGTTTAGAGACCTACATCTTGCTTTTATAGGACTATTGGATGAATTAGAGTCATGGTCCTTCAGTGGCCTTGCAGAGCCACCATGCGATGCTTTCCCTTCTTGGAGAGATTATCAGACCAGCAATCTTTTAGAAAAGGTCCGTAGGAATTTTGTGAGCTTTCCCAGAAGATAGGTAGGGTATCTGCCACAAAGCAGGAAGTGTGGGTGTAAAAGAGAGAGGGGCAGATAATGTCTTCAAATTTCCAGTTAGGAATCCTTTGTTTAGAAATTATGCTTGTTTTATTCTTTCTATTCAAGAATGGGGAAAAATTGGCCCCTAATTTTCCCACATTCCGAAGAATGTGATTGGATATTAGCCTTGGCCCAGATTTTTGATGTGAAGAAAGTGATAAAAAGAGTCAGAACATTTGCCTCTGCCACCTACCACTCCTTTCCACCACCCCCTCCCATATACACAAGCACATGTTCTGAATTCCACCATTAGACAGAAGCCGGGTCTGTGGTCTGTGTCTTCATTGTCCCCTAGTTTATTTTGTGATTTATTTCTGTAATTGAAAACAAAGTATGGTTCACCTCGGAAAAATGAGATAGCCTTAAGTTTCAAAGACCCTAAATAACTTTAGGGTTATTTTTGGCAGGAAATTCTTTTTCTCTTTCAAAATTAATTTTGAATGATAGAGTACATAGCTGGAGTCTTCAGCTGTCTATATAAAATATATGCTTGTGTGTAAATTTATCATTTCTCTTTCCCTGTTTTGTTCTTAAGCCATCTGGTTTGTTACTTCTTCCTATGCCCCTGACTTGTCTAACTGCCAACTTCGCAGAAGCACAGTTCTGTACCTAGAGGCCCATACTCAGCCAGCTGACTTCCCCTCTTTGCTTACCTGTGCAGTAGAGAAGAAATGGAAACTAGTGCCTTTTCATTCTTCTCTAGTTGCAATGGTCGTGATTTGGTTTTTAGTCCTATAGTCTTCCCAGGTGGTTTTGTTTATATTAACCTTAGGTTTGTGGTGTGACCCCAGCCACTTCATTGAAGGTGGACCCTAAAGTATAGTTGAGTTTGGCTAGTTTATAATACCGTCTCACCCCATGGGGGCTAGAGGGCCTGCCTGAGCCACAAGGAGTTATTGGTTGGTATCCTTAGAAATTGCATACAAATATTTGGCTGCTTTAGTTTCAGAGATAAACAAGAACAGCCTTTAAATTCACTGCCTTCTGTTTGTTAGAGAAGACTTTGAAATCCATTTTACTCAAGATTGATTATTCTGGCTTGAAGGAAATGCTTACCGTGATTTACTAATCTATAATGGCAGGGGTCTGCAGACTCTTGAAAGGGCCAACTAATAAATATGTGTGAGCATTGTGGCTCACATATAGTTTCTGTTGATTTTTTTTCAAAGCAATCATTTAAAAGTGTAAAACCCATTCTTAACTTGCAAGCTAAGGAAAAACAAGCTGTGGTCTGATTTGGTCCATGGGCCGGAGAGTGCTGACCCCTGATTTACAGCTGCCTGTCCACGACGGTAGCCACTGGGCACTTGAGATGTGGCCAGTCTGAATTGAGATGTGCTTTAAATGCAAAAGACACCGGAGTTTGGAGACTTAGTGTCAAAAACAAGGATTATCTCACTGATGACTTTTTATATTGATACAGGTTGAAATGATAGCGTTTTAGATATTTTGAGTTAAATAAAATATATTAAGATAATTTCACCTGATTCTGTTTACTTTCAGTGTAGTGACTAGAACAATGTAATACTATTTATGTAGTTTGCATTATACTTCTATTAGCTAATAGCCTAGAGTTCTGTTTCTCTTGAACTTGGTTGCCTTTGATTTCCATGACTGGATGAACTTGCTAGTTGGTTTTGCCTTTGGTTCCTTTGGCCTTTACCTGACATTTTACTGATTAACAATTAGAGTGAATAAAAGCACCAAATAGTGACTCTCATTTAGTCAACCAGGATAGCGTCGTACAGTTAAGCTCTGCTGTTTATTGATTGTCACAGGTTTTAATGAGGAAAATTTGGTACCGTCTTTTGGAACTTTTTAATTTTTGCATTTCTTTTTAGGTGTTGGATCCCAGAACAAGAATGATTTTATTCAAGATGTTGACTAGAGGAATCATAACAGAGATAAATGGCTGCATTAGCACAGGAAAAGAAGTGAGCTCTTCTTTGGATGATTGGATATTTAATTTTCTTATTTCAGATACCAGATGAAACTGGCACTTAGAACTACATTATGCCTTTAAGAAGAAAGAAAAACAAAGCCATACACATTAATATTCATGGTTAGAGAGGAAGTTGTACATATAACTACGCCCTTTTCACTACCGCTGCTGCATTGGATCATTGAGTCTAACTAGTTGTGCCCAGTAGTGAGTGAGATGGTCAGATTATTACAGGCCTGAGTTCTAATAAAATAAATTACTCATGGGGCCAGGGGTTTATGGTTATGTTTCTATGAGTCAGCAAGTCTTTCTTATTTTTTTCTTTACCTACGGGTATACTGCCTTCTGTTTGTTAGAGAAGACTCTGAAATCCTTTTGACTCAAAATTGACTACTCCAGCTTGAAGGAAACTCTTACTGTGATTTACTCAGCTATAATGGCAGGGGTCTGCAGGCTCTTGAAAGGGCCAGCTAATAAATATATGTGAGTGTTGTGGCTCAATATAGTTTCTGTTTTTGTTTTTTTTTTAAAGCAATTATTTAAAAGTGTAAAACCCATTCTGCTGGAAGCAATTCTCAGTAAAATTCAACTTATAAATCACTGGATTTTTAAATTTTTTTTAAACAGAGTCTTTTTTTTTTTTTTTTTTTGAGACAGTCTCCCAGGCTAGAGTGTGGTGGCATGTTCTCAGCTCACTGCAACCTCTGCCTCTCGGGTACAAGCAATTTTCCTGCCTCACCCTCCCGAATAGCTGGGACTACAGGCGTGCACCACCACACTCAGCTAATTTTTGTATTTGTAGTAGAGGCAGGGTTTTGCCATGTTGACCAGGCTGGTCTCAAATTTTTGGCCTGAAGTGATTCACCCGCCTTGGCCTCCCAAAGTGCTGCTATTACAGGCATGAGCCTCCACGCCTTGCCTAAATCACTGGATTTAAGAATGTCTTTAATTATTTTGCATATACTTGAGATATAAAAAAGTTTGAAACCACTTCTCCCCTATATTTAAATTGGATTTTACTGTACAGTCTTGCATTGCTTAATGAAGGGAATACTTTCTGAGAAATGCATCATTAGGCAAATTTGTCATTATGCGAAGAACATTATAGAGCATACTCATACAAACCTAGATAGTATAGCCTACTGCACTCTCAGGCTATACGGTAGTTCCGAATCTGTACAACAGGTTTCTGTACTGAATACTGTAACAATTGTAAGACAATGGTAAATATTTATCTATCTAAACATAGAAAAAGTACAGTAAAAATACCTGTTATAGTCTTACGGAATCACCTCATATATGCGGTCTGTCACCTGTCAGTAACTAAAACGTTATGTGGCACGTGACTGTATTTGTATATTGGAGCTATGTTTACTGTCCTTTTGATGTAATGTTTTACATTTTAATTCACATATTCAAAAGACAGTGGTATTCCTTATGCATGTTATTTCAGTTCACTTGACTTTTGAGGTTAGAATCAAATAGATTGAAAAAGTGGTTATTTAACATAAACTTCATTTTCTTTTTTTTTTGACTTAATATAGGCTAATGTATACCATGCTAGCACAGCAAATGGAGAGAGCAGAGCAATCAAAATTTATAAAACTTCTATTTTGGTGTTCAAAGATCGGGATAAATATGTAAGTGGAGAATTCAGGTAAGTTCAGATTTTTCCCTCCAGTTGGTTTAATTTCTATTTCCTAAAACATTAAAATAATAATGGAATGATTGAAATAATAAACATTTTTCTTATTCAAGATTTCGTCATGGCTATTGTAAAGGAAACCCTAGGAAAATGGTGAAAACTTGGGCAGAAAAAGAAATGAGGAACTTAATCAGGTGACTGTCTGGGATGTGTGTATGTCTGTCCTATGCCCTGTACATGAACATCAGCCCTTCCTCCCAGCAGATCCCAGTGTGGTTCTGCCCAAATGTAGGGACTTGTTAGGGCCTTTATTTCTATTAGGTCTGCTGAAGTAAGCAGAAGAAACACATGTCTGGACAAATAGAGATTGTTTCCTATTCTGTTGTTTTCTATTCTGAGAATCCATTTCAAAAGAATACTGCCACAATTCATATTTATTCCACGAAGCTAGATCATTTGGAAGGCCTTGTAAGCCATTGAAAATGTTTAGAATTTATACTGAGGATAATAAGGAACTGCTAAAGGATTTTAATCAGGAAAGTGACACAATCAGATGGTTATAATGCTCTGTCATGTTTTCGTAGGTATTGGAGTTTTCGACTAATCTTGTTAGGTCGTGAACTCTTTGTTTATCATAGTTTCCTTTTCTTAGTCCAGTTTTGGACACTTTTTTTATATTCTTTGTTTGCACTAACACCTTTTTATCAGGTAAAGGCCTCATCTAGTTGAGATCAAGTTTCCTGAAAATTATGGAGTTTTAAAAAATGTCTTATAACTTTTTATATGGTGTACACAGGTGACACATTGGATAGTGTAGTATTGAGCAAGTACTACTCGTTTTGAAAGTCTTTTGTGTTCAACAAGCTATTAGGTGTGAGTCCAACTATTTTTATTAAGCATTTTTCAGGCTATTCAACACAAAAGATACTTGTGGACCTATCTCCTCTATTTCCTCCATTGTAAGATGCACATTTTTTTCAGTTTAACATCTCTGGAATTGCTTTGGGTATTACAGGTTATGGGATGTAATAGTTGAATTGCTAGTGTTTTATCATTCTCGGTGGTACATAATGGTGCCACTTAAAATAATCTTAGAGTTTATGAAATATTATAATACATTTGAGAGGCCTTGGTGCTATTTCTTAACAGCAATATTAATCTTGGGACCTGCAGTTGTAATTTATTTAGATGCCTTTTCAACTTTTCAGTTGTCCTTTTATTTGTTATAATATCACAGGCTAAACACAGCAGAGATACCATGTCCAGAACCAATAATGCTAAGAAGTCATGTTCTTGTCATGAGTTTCATCGGTAAAGATGACATGTAAGTACATGGAAGGGCTAATAATTGCATTCTCAGAACTGTATTTTTAAGTTCTTTGAGTTTATCCACTATATGAATATTTCCCATTTGAATAACTTATTAATCTTTCCCACTATATTAGTGAATAAGTGTTATCAATGTATTCTACCTTTTCAAGTCTGAAAATGCTTCAGAATGAGGAGCAAGTTAGTCCTGTGTTGGAGGGTGGTCTTATACAGTGTGTTGGGAAAGCATCTATTTGCCGGTACCTTCTTGGTTTATGTGCATTGAGACAGATTGTCCCACATACAGCTCACATGATGAGTTGTAGAAGAGAAGGGCATGTAACAGTATAGTAAGAAGCAAGAAAACTTGTTCTTGGTCATTTTATCTTAGTTCTTTTCATTCAAGGCCTGCACCACTCTTGAAAAATGTCCAGTTATCAGAATCCAAGGCTCGGGAGTTGTACCTGCAGGTCATTCAGTACATGAGAAGAATGTATCAGGATGCCAGACTTGTCCATGCAGATCTCAGTGAATTTAACATGCTGTGAGTGTATTTTGTCTCTTAAGAACTGCCTGTCAGTTGTTTCGTGTCCTTTAAAATGATAAACAAAATCCCAATCCAAGAAGTCACACTAACTTCTGAAGTTTTATTGTTGACTTCCAAATGGTATAAGATAGGATTCCTTTTTTCAGTGACCTTAGTCACCGAATTGACTGCTTGGATCATTAACAGTGAATGGATTTTGGAAATTTTCCCAGTTCCATCTGTTAGTCAAGATTGCCTCATCTTATCTACCTTGGTGATTTTGTGAGCTACTTCCCTTGCTTTTAAGAGTAGAATTTATTTTAAACGAAAAACATAGTAAAGTAATACCATCCCACAGCTTCTGTGTCTCTGGCCCATAGGTACCACGGTGGAGGCGTGTATATCATTGACGTGTCTCAGTCCGTGGAGCACGACCACCCACATGCCTTGGAGTTCTTGAGAAAGGATTGCGCCAACGTCAATGGTGAGTAGAAACGGCAATTTTCGAAACAGCTCATTGGTCTGTTTTGGTTTTGTACTCAGTTAAGCTGTTGGCGTAAAATTTTCTCACTAAATTGTTTGGTGCAGTGATGCTTAAACCATTTGCTGGGAGATGGTATGTAATTTTATCTCCTTGTTTCTCTATAAGGTAGTTGGAATAATAATATTTTTCCTCATAAAAGCTGTCATTAACGTTTTTCCTTCTGACAGATTTCTTTATGAGGCACAGTGTTGCTGTCATGACTGTGCGGGAGCTCTTTGAATTTGTCACAGATCCATCCATTACACATGAGAACATGGATGCTTATCTCTCAAAGGTAAGATGGGGAGAGGAAGGAGGAATAGGAAATAGCAGTACAGGTGCAGTATCTCTTATCTCAAGTGCTTGGGACCAGAAGTGTTTTGGATTTTGGATTTTTTCCAGTTTTGAAATATCTGCCTTGTACTTACCCTAGTTGAGCATCCGAAATATCAAAATCCAAAATCCTCACTGCTCCATTTCACATTTCATTTGAGCATAATGTTGGTGCTCAAAAAGTTTCGGATTTTGGAGTATTTCAGATTTTTGATTTTTAGATTTGGGATGCTAACCAGTAATTGCATTTGCTTGACACTTCTGAGGGACCCAGATTGCATAGTGTAGTTTATTCATTTTGACAGCTTCCTGAGACCTTTTCCTTCCTACTTAACAGATGAAGAATCAAAAATACAGCACAACAGCCAATGGTAAAGCCAGGGGTTTTTTTTTTTTCCTTTTTTTTTTTTTTTTCTTCTCCTGAGTCAACTTGATATCCAAGCTTTTTACTTCAATTATCTGGCAAGATTACATAGACTGTCAAAGTTTGTGAAAGTTTAGCAAGAAAACTGTCAGTTTTTTGGTCATTAATTCTTTTCCCTTGTTTCTCAGGGGCCTTTCTCTTTTTTTCTTTTCTTTCTTTTTCTTTTTTCTTTTCTTTCTTTCTTTTTTTTTCTTTTTTGAGACAGGATCCCACTCTGTCACGCAGGCTGGAACATAGTGGCGCACTCTTGGTTCACTGCAACCTCTGCCCCTCAGGGTCAAGTGATCCTCCCAGCTCAGTCTCCGAGTAGCTAGGACTACAGGCACACGCCACCACACCTAGCTAATTTTTATATTTTTTGTAGAGACAGGGTTTCATCATGTTGCCCAGGCTAGTCTTGAAATCTTGGCCTCAGGTGACCCACCTGCCTCAGCCTCCCAAAGTGCTGGGATTACAGGTGTGAGCCACGACGCCCGGCCTCAGAGGCCTTTCTGAATATAGAATTTTTTAGAATTCTGGTAAAAGACATAATATAAAATTTAATGCTTTAACCATTTGAATGTATGGTTCAGTGGCATTAAGTACATTCACATTGTGGTACAAACTATCACCACTGTCTATCTCCACACCTGTTACATCATCCCAAACTGATATTCTGTACCCATTAAGTAACAACTTCCCATCCCCTGGCAATCACCATTCTACTTTCTGTCTTTGTGAATTCACCTACTCTAGGTACCTCTTATAAGTGGAATCATATAGTATTTGTCTTTTTGTGTCTGGCTTATTTCACTTAGTATGATGTCTTCAAGATTCATCCATGTTATAGCATGTGACAGGATATCTTTTTCTTTTTTTGTTTGAGACAGGGTCTCACTCTGTCACCAGGCTAGAGTGCAGTGGCGTGATCTTGGCTCACTGCAACCTCTGCCTTCGGGTTCAAGCAATTCTACCACCCTGGCCTCCCTGAGTAGCTGGGACTACAGGTGCGAGCCACTACACCCGGCTAATTTGGGTATTTTTTGGTAGAGACAGGGTTTCACCATGTTGGCCAGGCTGGTCTCCAACTCCTGGCCTTAAGTGACCCGCCTGCATCGGCCTCCCGAAGTGCTGGGATTGCAGACATGAGTCACCACGCCTGGCCTAGGATTTCTTCTTTTAAGGCTGAATAATGGTCCAGTGTATGTATATACTATATTTTGTTTATCCATTCATCTGTGGATGGACATACGGGTTGCTTATACCTTCTGGCTATTCTGAATAATGCTGCTATGAACATGGATGTATAAATATCTCTTCAAGATGCTGCTTTCAGTTCTTTCGAATATACACCCAGAAGTAGAATTGCTGGATCAAATGATATTTCTATTTTCAAGTTTCTGAGGAACCCACCATACTGTTTACTGTAGTGGCTGCACCATTTTACATTACCACCAACAATGCACAAGGGTTTTAATCGCTCCACATCCTCACCAGCACTTACTAATCTCCATACCCTCACCAACACCTATTATTTTGTTTTTTGTTTTGTTTTGACAATGAGAGACCCCCTAATGAGTGTGAGGTGTATGTTATTATGGTTTTGGTTTGTGTTTCCCTGATTACTAGTGACGTTGAGCATCTTTTCATGTGCTTCTTGCCCATTTATATATTTTCTTTGGAGAAATGTCTTTTTTTTTTTTTTTAAGAGACAGGGTCTCTCTGTTACCCAGTCTGAAGTACAGTGGTACAATCCTGTCTCACTACAGTCTCAACCTTCTAGACTCAAGCAGTTCTCCTGCCTCAGCTGCTTCAGCCTGCTGAGACTATAGGTGCAGACCATGACACCCAGCCAATTTTTTTTTTCTTTTTCATTTTGTTGGGACAGGGTCTCACTGTGTTTTCCAGTCTGGTCTTAGACTCCTGGGCTTAAGCACTCCTTCTGTCTCGGCCTCTCAAAGTTCTGGGGTTGCAGGCATGAGCCACAGTGTCCAGCCCCATGTCTTTTTTTTAATCAGGTTTGGTTTTTTTTGTTGAGTTGTTTGTATTTTCTGGATATGTCAGATACGTGATTTGCAAATGTTTATTCCCATTCTGTGACTTGTCTTTTCACTCTGTTGATTGCAAGCTTTGATGCACAGAAGTTTTAAATTTTGATGTGATCCAGTTTATCTATTTTTATTTTTGTCTCTGAATCATAGAGTTTTGAACACATGGCATGTATGCCTCTACACAGGTTTTCAGGTTTGTTTGTTTTTGAGATGGAGTCTCGTTCTGTTGCCCAGGCTGGAGTGCAATGGCACAATCTCAGCTCACTGTAACCTCCACCTCCTGGATTCAAGTGATTCTCCCACCTCAGCCTCCTGAATAGCTGGGATTATGGGCACCTGCCATCATGCCCAGCTAATTTTTGTATTTTTGTAGAGATAAGGTTTCACCATGTTGGCCATGGCAAGTCTCGAACTCCTGACCTCAGGAGATCCGCCTGCCTCGGCCTCCCAAAGTGCTGGGATTACAGGCATAAGTCGCCTTGCCTGGCCAGGTCTTCAGGTTTTATCCTGTCCTTTCCTCTTTTTCCATTTCCTTGCAATACCTTCCCATTTCTGCCTTTGCTCAACTTTGCTCCGCCTGGTGAACTTTAAAGCTCCAGTTAGAAAGCTCTCTGGAGGGGTATTTCAGCAGAAATTGTTTTCATAGGTGTAGTCTCCTACAACTATAATAGAAGTAGTCACACTGTGTCACTTATTATACTAAGTCCCTAATTCTGTCACCCTCAATTATGAACTTTTATGGAACAGGAGTTTTCTCTATTGCCAAGTACCCAATATCTGGCCCATAGTAGGCAATCACATCTGTTAATGGAATAAATAAGTGTGTCATTTTTATTCCTCAACTTTTTAACTTAGCACTGACTTTCTTTTTCTTTTTCTTTTTTTTTTTTTTAAATGGAGTTTCCCTCTTGTTGCCCAGGCTGGAGTGCAGTGGGGCAATCTCGGCTCACTGCAACCTTTGCTTCCTGGGTTCAAGCGATTCTCCTGCCTCAGCCTCCCGAGTAGCTGGGATTACAGGCATGCGCCCCCATGCCCAGCTAATTTTGTATTTTTAGTAGAGATGGGGTTTCTCCATGTTGGTCAGGCTGGCCTTGAACTCCTGACCTCAGGTGATCCATCCGCCTCGGCCTCCCAAAGTGCTGGGATCATAGGTGTGAGCCACCGCACCCGGCCTCTTTTATTTATTTATTTTTTTGACGGAGTTTCGCTCTTGTCACCCAGGCTGGAGTGCAGTGTGCAATTTCGGCTCACTGCAATCTCCGCCTCCCAGGTTAAAGCAGTTCTTCTGCCTCAGCCTCCCCAGTAGCTGGGATTACAGGCACCCAGTAGCTGGGATTACAGGAGCCCACCACCACTCCCGACTAATTGTGTGTGTGTGTGTGTGTGTGTGTGTGTGTGTGTGTGTGTGTGTGTGTGTGTGTGTTTGAGATGGAGTCTGGCTCTCTCACCCATGCTGGAGTACAGTGGCACGATCTCGGCTCACCACAACCTCTGCCTCCCGGGTTCAAGTGATTCTCCTGCCTCAGCCTCCAAGTAACTGAGATTTCAGGTGCATGTTAGCATGCCTGGCTAATTTTTGTGTTTTTAGTAGAGACGGGTTTTCACCATGTTGACTAGGCTGGTCTGGAACTCCTGATCTCATGATCCAGCCGCCTCAGCCTCCCAAAGTGCTGGGATTACAGACGTGAGCCTCAGCCTCCCAAAGTGCTGGGATTACAGGCGTGAGCCTCAGCCTCCCAAAGTGCTGGGATTACAGGCATGAGCCTGTAATTAGACTGCACCTGGCCTAATTTTTGTATTTTTAGTAGAGACGGAGTTTCCCCATATTGCCCAGGCTGGTCACAAACTCCTGATCTCAGGTGATCTGCTGGCCTCACCTCCCAAAGTGCTGGGATTAGAGGCGTGAGCCACTGTGCCTGGGTCAGCACTGATTTTCGTGTCTAAACTCAAAAAAAAAAAAAAAAAAAACCTCTGCTCCCACTATTTTTTCCTTTCTTCTATATAGAGAAGAGAACACTCAGTTTTACAAACCAAAAGAACCCTTTGGAATCTTTGTCACCCTCGTTTCAGTCATTGTTTGCTCAGAGAGCTTTCTTCAGTGCAGCAGCAATAAAGCCGTATATTCAAGATTTACAGCCAGCCTTTGCAATTCCCTTCGCCGACTGCTCAGGATTTAAGGAATGGTTCTTTCATTCTTTAGGTCTCTGTATTCCTTTAGTAAATGCTAAAGCATTTACTAAATGCAAAAGCTAATTATTTAAATTTAGTAAAAGTAGCATAACTTTTGAAAAAGGGGGGCTAGGGATCCCCCTAGGCTAGAAGAGTTTGATTTATTGTTACTTTTGGGTTGATGGCAGCCTTTTTGGTGAGGTCTGTGCTGGAAAGCTAACTTGTACCATTAGACCTCACTAAATGCTTTCCTAAGTGTGAGGAGGTGATACTTAAAAAGACTGGAACAATTTTATACCAAAACTGGGACATGGATGTGCCTTCTGCAGTTTGAATATAAAAGAAAGTCATTTTTGTTTTCTTTCCAAGGCCATGGAAATAGCATCTCAAAGGACCAAGGAAGAACGGTCTAGCCAAGATCATGTGGATGAAGAGGTAGGATTTATTATCTATTCACAGCCTTTGGAAACACTTGTGTTTTGAGGGTTTTTTTTTTTATGTTGCTAGAGCATAAACTTGATTTAAATAGATAAGCAGCTTTTTCAAATGATGGTAATATTTCCTTAAGATATATTATAGTAAATGATTTAAGTGAGCCAAGTTGGATAGTTTACATTTCACTGTATTGGTCCACTCAGCAACCTGTTAGCCCATTGTCCTAGATGGAGAAAATTTTTAAAGAGCCTGTTAGGATATAGGCGTCAAGAAGGAAAAGCCTGTTTTTAATTTGCAAATGTGAGTTTTTAAATGACTTAAATATTGATTCTAGAAATGTTATAGATTTTAAATATTATGCTTTGATAAAAACGAGTCAGGGTGTTTTTTTGTGAAGGAGCCATAGTAGGCTTTTAAAAAAAATTCTCACAACTCTTAATGGTTGACTATGAGGTGCCCTGTGTTTGTCGGCAGCTCTCCACCTTTTTCACTGTAGCAGCTGGGTATGTTTCGTAAGGCATAGCCAGGCAGCGCTTGCCAACTGTAATTCCGCCCCTTTCCCTCCTGCTCAGAAAAGCTTTTTGGAACAAAAATGAAGGAGAAGTGTTATTCTAAGGATAATCTTGAATCAGCTCTAATGTTTTTTTTCCCTTCCTTAAAATAAATCATATGCAAAATTTAGTGTTCTATCATTAGTAGTGTTACTTTTGGGACACCACATCACAGATGGGATACCAGTGTGTGCAGACAGCTTAGCCAAGCATCAGTGTTAGGGATGAATGAATATATAGATTCCCCTGTAACCTGATGGAGGAGTATGCTGTGTGAATGTGAGAAGTGTATGAATAACAGTTTTGATTTTGCTTTTCCTCTCTGTTAGGTGTTTAAGCGAGCATATATTCCTAGAACCTTGAATGAAGTGAAAAATTATGAGAGGGATATGGACATAATTATGAAATTGAAGGAAGAGGACATGGCCATGAATGCCCAACAAGATAATGTAAGTAGCTTGGTTTGTATATAGCAAGCAGCTCTTCAAAAGTAGTAGGGGACTGTCCCAAACCTATCTGGGCCTTTTAAGTTCCCCTAATCTTGAATATTGGCTTCTGAGCTAGTGAAATGACTAACTCTATCTGTGTTAACTTGTGTGCACATTGAACGCAAAGGGAATTATTTGGAATTTATGAGAGGAGGTAACACATTTGAATGAATCCAACAAGCTGTAATTGTAGAAACAAGATTCAGATAGAAGTCTAGGCTATTAATGGTTATTATATTAGGTCCATTAACATATATTTCTTTAACATACATCATTCAGGAACAATTTCTTTTTGGTGAAGGGTCAGATAGTAAATATTTTAGGCTTTGCAAGCCAAGAAACAAAATTGAGGTGATTACGTAGGTCCTTATGTAACAAGAGAGAAAAAAATTCACCCTCAATTTTTATTCGTGAAATTAGAAATACTTTAATAATAGTTGAATACACTTTTGTGTAATACAAGTATACTAAAGAAGAGTGGAATTATTTGATGTGGGGCAGATAATATTTCACTTAATTGGGGCTCAAAGTTTGTGTTTGCTATCTTCAAATTGATTGCAAATGTTTATCTGTAAAAACTACCAGGTAGGCTGGGCGCAGTGGCTCACACCTGTAATCCCAGCCCTTTGGGAGGCTAAGGTGGGCGGATCACTTGAGGTCAGGAGTTCGAGACCAACCTGGCCAACATGGTGAAACCCTGTCTCTACTAAAAATACAAAAATTAGCCAGGCATGGTGGCGTGCTCCTGTAATCCAAGCTACTGGGGAGGCTGAGGCACGAGAATCACTTGAACCCGGGAGGCGGAGGCTGCGGTGAGCTGAGATTGCGCCATTGGACTTTAGCCTAGGCTACAGAGCGGAACTCTGTCTCAAAAAAAAAAAAGGCCCAGTACGGAGGCTCACACCTGTAATCTCAGCACTTTGGGAGGCCGAGGTGGGTGGATCACCTGAAGTCAGGAGTTCGAGACCAGCCTGGCCAACATGGTGAAACCTCGTCTCTACTAAAAATATAAAAATTAGCTGGGCATCGTGGCAGCTGTAATCCCTGCTACTCAGGAGGCTGAGGCAGGAGAATCTCCTGAACCCCAGGTGGTGGAGGTTGCAGTGAGCCAAGATCGCGCCACTGCACTCCAGCCTAGGCCACAAAGCAAGACTCCGTCTCAAAAAAAAAAAAAAACAACTACCAGGTGGCTGGTTGGATTTGGCCAGTAGATCTGGTAGACAGAAATAATATCAATATTATAAACTTCCTGTGTTACAGTGAGATTAATTTTAGATACCTTTTTATAATCATAGGAGACATTATTTAACCCACATTGTTCTTAATAGTGCAATATGCATATTTCATTGTCTAGTTTTATGTTGATCCTTATTTTTTTTTTTTCATTTTGGTTATAAGATTCTATACCAGACTGTTACAGGATTGAAGAAAGATTTGTCAGGAGTTCAGAAGGTATGAAGAACATGTGTTACTGTTTGTTTATGTGAAAACAGTTTTAAAGGATATAAACTCTAGTCATACTGTTTTTTATTATTATTTAATATTATTAGAACTAAATGTTATTTTATATTGTTAAAATGTTATAATTGCTTTCAAAGTCTGTGGACATCTTCAGAAATGCCATTTTTGTGTTCTTTCTAAACACAGCACTGAAATTTGGAAATTAATTTATTTTTCTTTCTGTCTCTGAATTGTTCAGTGATTGCAGGTGAGGTATTTATCTTTTTGTATCCTGGTCGTCATTTGTGGAGCTCTTAATGATAGCCATTGTGCTTCTTGATGGTTTTACAACCAGCTTAGGAGAACTTTGGAATGTAGTCTCCTACCAGGGTATTACTTGTTAAAGAACAATCTCATGAGTTCAGCAAGTCCTGCTGTGCTGGATTCCTGTGATGTTCTTTTTTCTTAAAACAATCTTGTTTTGTTTTACATTTTAGAAGGGCAGGGATTAAGTAATTCTAACTTAGGCAGTCATAAAAGCAGTCTTTATTTTTTTAAATCTTCCTAATTGAAGACTTAAATAAAGGATCACAGTTTGCTTTCTTAAAATCATGTCTTTTCTGTGGAAAGAATTGAATTAGGGGAATTCTGGTATTTTGCATTTCTGAGTTATAATAACAGGTGTCATAAGGAAGTTATGCTTTGGATTCCAGAGCATGAAGATTTTATTGCAGCAAGCTAGAAAATCTTGTTGTACAATTGACTTCTAAAGATCTGTTTTTTTCTTATAAAAGGGAAACCTCACTCTTAAAAACTGCTAGGAAGCGCTGTATTAGACAACTGCTGAATTTCAGGAAGTAATGAAAATTTCTCTTCTTCACATATTGTTTTCCCTCCCAATTGGATTAGTTTATTGCTAGAAATGTGGTTCACAGGAAAACAGCTGTGAAGTTATCCATATAAATCTTCATTTTCTACCTCTATGTATATTTTGCCTCTTTCCCAATCCCAACTAAATGCTCCTGATTAGCTGAAAGAAGGAGAACAGCTCTGTTGTTGATCTAGGTCACGCAGTAAAGCCCTGGTTCCTTCATTTGAGTATGTTCTGGAGCCTTACTTGGAGTGGCTACTTTCATGTTTCCCTCCTGATGTTCATTCTGGTGTTTTGATGTTTCAGTACAGGATGTTAGTTTTTAACATATATTTGCGAGCCTAAAATCTGAATTCTGGCATTAACACATTTAACAACAACACATAACTTGGTTTGTGTGTTGTTTAGAATAACATGGTTCTTTAATAATTTCAAGGTCCCTGCACTCCTAGAAAATCAAGTGGAGGAAAGGACTTGTTCTGATTCAGAAGATATTGGAAGCTCTGAGTGCTCTGACACAGACTCTGAAGAGCAGGGAGACCATGCCCGCCCCAAGAAACACACCACGGACCCTGACATTGATAAAAAAGTAAGCAATGAAATACCTTCCCCTTTTCTTTAGTGTGGGAGCACAGCCGCTCTTATTTCTCTTTGCTCAAGGATCTAGCTAGATTATGATGGCTGAAAACATTATTGATAAGTACCTCTAATTACAGTTTTAATACCTAAGTGTGAACTTGACTTTTGGTGGTAACATTATCTTGAGATTGGGCTGCTCATCAGAGCACCTTGGGCATTGCCTAGAGAGAGCACGCACTAAATTCAGTACATTTCACATGAAGTACAAGTGATGTTAGAGTTGACCCAGGGTAAATACTGAAGAGCCATTTCAGGGGGATTTATAGCCCAGCTTGATGTTTCTGGAATCTGAAAGACCATATAATAGTCCCCCCATCCATGCTTTCAGTTTCTACTGTTTCAGTTCCCTGCAGTCAGCCTTGGTTTGCAAATATTAAATGGAAAATTCCAGAAGTAAACAATTTATAAGTTTTAAATTGCTCACCGTCCTAAGTAGTGTGATGAAATTCATGCTGTCCTCCTCCATCCTGCCTGGAATGTGAATCATCACGTGGTCCAGCGTCTTCACACTGTCGACACTCCCCACCCGTTAGTCACTTAGTAGCCTTCTTGGCTATCAGTTCAGCTGCTGTGATGTTGTGGTGCTTGTGTGCAAGTAACCCTTACTTTGCTTAATAATGACCGTAAATTACAGGAGTAGTGATGTTGGAATTTCAGGTATGCTTTAGAGAAGCCATAAAATGCTTCCTTTAAGTGGAAAGGTGACCATTCTTGACTTAACAAGGAACTCATGCCTGTAATCCTAGCACTTTGGGAGGCCAAGGAGGGCGGATCACTCCAGACCAGTCTGGGCAATAGAGTGATACCCCGTCTCTATTAAAACATTGGTGATGAGCACCTGTAGTCCCAAATACTTGGGAGGCTAAGGCAAGAGGATCCCTTGAGTCCAGAAGTTTGAGGTTCTAGTGAGCTGATCATGCCACTGCACGCCAGCCTGGGTGACAGAGTGAGATTCTGTCTCAAAAAAATAAATAAAAGGAAAAGAATCATATGCTGAAGTTGCTGGTGAGAATCTTTTATCCGTGACATTGTGGAGAAGGAAAAAGATGTTTGTGCTGGTTTTGCTGTCTCACCCCAAACTGCAAAACTTAGGACCATAGCATGTGATAACTGCTTAGTTAAGATGGAAAAGGCATGAAATTTGTGGGTGAAAGACGTAAACAAAAACATCTTCCAGTTGATGGCACCATGTTGCACCAGAAAGCACTGAGCCTATACGAAGGTTTCAAAGGTTTCAGCAAGGGTTCCCCTGAAATGAGTGCCACCAGGCCATTTACTGTAAGGAATAGTTACACAGATTCAGGAATAGGTTTGGACTAAAAAATAGAAAAATTACCAGAGAGGCTGCATCTGCCAATGAAGAAGCTACTGTCACATGAGTATGATACTGTGGGATATTTGGAGAGAGAGACCACATTCAAATAACTTTTACTATAGTATATTGTTACCATTCTGTTATTAGTTATTATCTCTTACTGTGCCTAATTTATAAATTAAACCTCATCATAGGTACGTATGTATAGGTAGAAGCATAGTATATATAGGGTTTGGCACTATCCACAGTCTTAAGCATCCACTGGGAGTCTTGGAACATATCCCCCATGGATAAGAAGGGACTCTTGTATTTCTTTAATCCCTAGCCATAGACATAGAGACACTGCTGACTGAGTGCTATGTGACTATTATTATTCCATCTTAGTCTAATCCTTTAAACCTTATACAATGTGGGTCCCAAGACTTCTGAGGGACATACTCAGCTGCTAGCATATTTTCTCATATGTCTACTAGAAACACATATTTTGTCTCTTTCCAATGTCTATTTCTGTTAGAATATGGAACTTGTAAAGAAAAGTATTTGCAAACATTTAATAACATTCTTAGGGATATTTCTGTTTGGCTGTCTTCACATTTCTATTAAGGAAGCTCAGCTGGGCGCGGTGGCTCACGCCTGTAATCCCATCACTTTGGGAGGCCAAGGCAGGTGGATCACGAGGTCAGGAGATCGAGACCATCCTGGCTAACATGGTGAAACCCTATCTCTACTAAAAATACAAAAAATTAGCCGGGCGTGGTGGCAGGCGCCTGTAGTCCCAGCTCCTTGGGAGGCTGAGGCAGGAGAATGGCGTGAACCCAGGAGGCGGAGCTTGCAGTGAGCCGAGATCACGCCACTGCATGCCAGCCTGGGCGACAGAGACTCCGTCTCAAAAAAAAAAAAAAAAAGAGGAAGCTCAAGGCCGGTTATGGTGGCTCATGCCTGTAGTCTCAGCTACTGGGGAGGTTGAGGCAAGAGGATTGCTTGAGCCCAGGAGCTTGAGGCTGCAGTGCACAATGGTCATGCCACTGCCCTCCTGCCTGGGTGACAGAGTGAGTCCCTGTCTCTAAAAAGAAAAAACTGAAAGACAGTTTTCACCCCAAGTTCCTCCACCAACCCATAATCATTTTCTTTTCTTTTCTTTACATTACACTCACTTTTATTCTTCTATGTGTGTATTTTATTTAGTTATAATCATAATAATACTCCAGGTGGGTGCAGTGGCTCATGCCTGTAATCTCAGCATTTTGGGAGATCAAGGTGGGTGGATCACTTGAGCCCAGGAGGTCGAGACCAGCCTGTGCAATCTGGCGAAGCCCCATCTCTACCAAAAAATACCCCAAAAAAACCTAGCCAGGTGTGGTGGTGCACACCTGTTGTCCCAGCTACCCAGGAGGCTGAGGTGGGAGGATTGCTTGAGCCCAGGAGGTGGAGGCTGAAGTGAACCATGGTCACGCCACTGACTCCAGCCTGGGCGACAGAGCAAGACCCTGTCTAAAAAACAAAAAACAAAAAACAAAAACAAAAAATGCATACTCCAAATGAATGAAAGTTGGCTTTTTTGTTTGTTTTTTACAGGAAAGAAAAAAGATGGTCAAGGAAGCCCAGAGAGAGAAAAGAAAAAACAAAATTCCTAAACATGTGAAAAAAAGAAAGGAGAAGACAGCCAAGACGAAAAAAGGCAAATAGAATGAGAACCATATTATGTACAGTCATTTTCCTCAGTTCCTTTTCTCGCCTGAACTCTTAAGCTGCATCTGGAAGATGGCTTATTGGTTTTAACCAGATTGTCATCGTGGCACTGTCTGTGAAGACGGATTCAAATGTTTTCATGTAACTATGTAAAAAGCTCTAAGCTCTAGAGTCTAGATCCAGTCACTGACTCTGTCTGGTGTTGACAGAGGATTTATTTAAGCTATTATTTTAATAAAGAACTTTGTACATTTTTATTTTTATATTTTTTTCTCTTACAAATATGTTTTTGGAAGCATGATAAATGTTTAAATGTAGTCAACATCTGTAACTCTTACATGAGTGTCCAGAGGCACTCATGGGAAAATTGGTTTTGCTTTCTTTGTACACACCAGAGACCCATCTGAGGTCATCTGATTATAAGGCCATGTTTATATAAAGGGAATTTCACCCACAGTTCAGCTGGCTGTTGATTTTCACTGCAACTCTGCCTTTGTGTGTATTGGCGATCATTTGTAATGCTCTTACACTTCGTCTTTAATGTTCTTTTTGGAGTTAGGACCTCTCAGTTCATAAAGTTTTTTACAATTCAATCATTTGGCATATTCATTCATTCATCAAAAATTTGAGTATTTTAGTTGCTGGGGATACAGCAGAAAACAAACTAGACAAAAATTACTACCTTTGAGTAGTTTACATTTTGATAGGAAGATAAGACATTAACCAAAGTAAGTAAAAAGCAGTGTATCAGCAGGTGATAAATTCTATGGAGAGAAATAATGCAGAGATGAGAGGGCGCCTATAGATGAAAGAGTTTGCAGTTTAAAATAGGGTTCTTGGAAAGGCCTTACTGAGGGCTGATATTTGAGCAAATACTTGAAGAAGGTGAATTGTTTGCATAACAAGAAGGAAGAACATGCCAGGCAGAACAACCAGCAGTTGCAAAGCCCTGAGGCAGGAGTGTACGTGACATCTTCCAGAAACAGGGCTGAGACATCATCATCAAGGGAGAAAGTAGTAGATGCAATCAGATAGTGTACGGCTGTGGGAGGGTTTTGGCAGGGGAGTGATATGATCTGACTTCTGTTTTAAAAGGATTACTCTGGCCTCTGTGGAGAATTGATCAGGAAGCAAGGGTGGGAGACCAGTGGGTATGTTCATTGAAGTAAACCCAAGCAAGAGACGCTGATGGCTTGGTATAGGATGGTGGCAGACATGAGAGAAGTGGTTGCACATTCTAAGGGAAGAGATGAGATTGCGTGGAGTGAAGGGTGACTTCAGGGTTTCTGACCTGAGCAGCAACTGAGATGACTGGAGTTGCCACTTACTGTGATGGGAAAGACTGGACGGGAGCAGGTTTGGGGAGGGTAGGAGGGTGAGATAAAACCTTACATCACAACATAGTACAGATACTAAAAGAAATTACCAATTTAATTTTTTTAATGATATACTTTATGTTGGAAGTGACTCTTGTAGTCATTGCATTTAGAAATAATTTCTATAAATCAACCCCTAGTTTTCACTTAAACTGAAGCTTGCCCCTGCTTATTTGACAGTGGGTTATAGGGGGAAATCATTTGAGCTCTTTATGTTTATTTTGACTATAAAGTTCAAAATATGAAATATAATTTCAATGAAACACAAAAATAATCCCTCTAAAATAGTCTACAGTTAGCACAACAAAAGAAAAAGCAAAAGCAGATATCAATCCTGCACACATCTGGGGAGTTTATCTTCAGGATCTTCTAACTCTTGTGTTTGTTTTGATCTTACTCTCCGACATGGTATGTTTGCATTAGGAGGTCAAGCTGCTCAGTGCTGTCTTTTGCTGAATCTCATGCAGTTTCCAAGCTTGGAATCAGTGCCACTTGGCCAGATGTAGCAATAGCCAGATTGTGGGGCAGTTCATTCTCTTACATTGCTGCTGGGAGGAAGTGACTTGTAAAACATCAAGAGTTGGTAATGAAGATTCTAACCTGAGAAAAGCTTTTCTGATACCCCTCTTGCTCATGTGGCTGTATCCTTGTTTGGATTCTGGGTCATAAGGCTGTGGCTGGTTAATAGCCACTCATCGTATTCTTGCCAACCTTGTCTGAAATTATCATCCTCATCAGAAGGCTTAGAAGGAGCCTAATCTTAGGCAAACAACTAGCAGGGCTGCTTGCTGACTTTGATAACAATTGAGTTTTGATTGTTTGGCAGGTTTTAGTGTTAATGGATTATTGGTTGTACAGTTACTTTCTACTTGGAAAGGTGAAGTTTGGGTCTCTTGGCCCAAAGCTGGGGACATTATTTTGGTGGTTGTAGATATATCTGATTTCATGTTTTGTTGTTTTTCTCATCCATCAAAATAATGCAGATGTTTCTAAAAGTTTACTATGAGAAATCTGGGTAACTTCTTTGAAGCACAAAATTACAGCTGTTTCCTATGCTGCTGTCACTCTTATTCTTCCTTTGATAGACCTGTTCAGGAATAGAGTGTTTCTCAGCCTGAAAGTACCACCATTTCTTTTTGTTTGTTTGTTTTGAGATGGAGTCTCGCTCTGTCGCCCAGGCTGGAGCGCAGTGGTGAGATCTTGCCTCACTGCAACCTTCATCTCCCAGGTTCAAGTGATTCTGCCTCAGCCTCCCAAGTAGCTGGGATTACAGGTGCCCGCCACCACACCTGGCTAATTTTTGTATTTTTAGTAGAGACAGAGTTTCACCATGTTAGCCAGGCCAGTCTCGAACTCCTGACCTTAGGTGATCCGCCCACCTCATCTCCCAAAGTGCTGGGATTACAGGCGTGAGCCACCACTCCCAGCCAGCACCACCATTTGAAAGTGGTCTTTTAGTGAAGAAATGAGAATGGTGGCAGCTCTTTGCCCAGGTCTGGTCAAGTATGAATCCATGGTTCTTGGCTAACATCAAGTTTTCTTCAGCTTTATCGCTAACTTGATGAAGACAGACCCAAGATGTTGAAAAACTTTATAGCTTGGTACTAAGAGTTGTTTGAGATCTTTCCTTTTCATGAGTATTCTGTTTAATTCTGTGCTAGCAGCTTGTTTCTTGGCTGTGGGCCCATCCTGTTTTGTGACTGTGATTTCATTAACCTTTTGGCTCAGAAAAGGAAGAGATTAAATAAAAGTTCCTCCAGATGCAGGTAAAAATGAAATTTAAGGACATCTCAAATGTCAGGCTCTGAATGCTATCTCTAAAAAATCCTTTTCATTTTCAAAAGCTTGATATACTCTCTAATTTCTAGTGGTCTATACACATCGTAAATAAAGACCTTGACTGTTCAGAGCTTTACTTTGATTTCTGAGGTTTACTTTTTTGATGGAAGAGCTAAAAGGATTGGCAGCGTGAGCAGATTCTCCTCAAGTATAGTTTCCCATGAAGATTTCAAGCGCAGGGATCAAAACCAAGAACTCTCCACATTCTGTCTCCTAAATGGGATTAGGGTGTCACATTCCCTGCATTTTGGTTGGAGTATTTAACTTTCATATCCTTTGGGTTTGTGTTGCCTTGGACATGAAGGCTTTTAACTGTTTCAAGGGAAACCATAATATTGGTATGAAATCATTAAAGCCAGTTTTGTAAGGAAAGAAGTACTATCTTGCATCTATGCCTTCCAGAGATCTTAGTCCCAGTTGATGGTGTTGCAGAAGGTGGTGCAGGGTCTCAGACCCTGACACCATTAAGAAGGCAAATGCTGTAACCATTGTGGAAGTAATAGTAGCACCTCCCTCATAGATTATTGTGAAGGATGCTGAGAAGAGCTGGTGGGAAAGTTTGCAATGGTTGGATCAGGCTGATAGTACCCGAACCCATTGCTTTGTCATTGAAAGCGGAGCAGCCAGCCCCATAGGTGCTCCTGTTGTGATGTAAAAGGAAGTACACAGAACCATCTGTAAAATACCTCACCTGCCCCTAAAAACATTGAACCTGAACTATGTGGCCACTAGATGTAACTAGCAGTTTACAGGAAACACAGGACGCAGGAACAGGATAAATGATCCTATGAGGACACAACCAAATCTGGAATAAGGGAGACTCCATAAGGAAAAAAAAAAAAAATGGAAGGCAGGGCACTGTGGCTCATGCCTATAATCCCAGCACTTTGGGAGGCCAAGGCGAGCAGATCACGAGGTCAGGAATTCAAGACCAGCCTGGTCAACATAGTGAAACCCCGTCTCTACTAAAAATACAAAAATTAGCTGGGCATGGTGGCACATGCCTGTAATCCCAGCTACTTGGGAGGCTGAGGCAGGAGAATCGCTTAAACCTGAGAGGTGGAGGTTGCAGTGAGCGGAGATCGCACCACTGCACTCCAGTTTGGGCAACAGAGTGAGACTTCATCTCAAAAAAAAAAAGAAAGCACAAGTGGTTTCAGACCACATATCCCAATGCTGGGTACTGCATTTGGATCCTGATGAAATCAAACCAATTGTAAAAAAAATTGGGATGGTTTTTTTAAAAAAAGGAAAGTTAAAATGAAATATGTATTAGATGGTAGTAAGGAATTGTTCATCTTATTACATATGATAGTGACATTGTGGTTACATTTTTAAAAAATGTGTTCCCTTCAAGTATCTACTGAAGTCTTAATGAATAGGATGTCTGGGATTGCTTTAAAATACTCCACCCTGTCTCTAAAGAAAAGTGGCAGTAGATGAAGCAAGATTTGCAGAATGTTAATAATTGCTAAAGCTGGGTAATGGATATGTGGGGATTCATAATACTGTTCTATTTTTGTATATAAAAATTTCTCTAAGAAAAAGGTTTTTTAAAACAATTTTTAAGAGCGTCTCACTCTCTTGCCCTGGCTGGAGTGCAGTGGCACCTTCTTAGCTCACTGCAGCCTCGACCTCCTAGGCTCAAGTGATCTTCCTGCCTCAGCCTCCCTCGACCATCTGGGCTCAAGCAATCCTCCTGCCTCGGCCTCCCAAAGTGCTGGGATTACATCTACCACACCCAGCCAATAAAATGTTTTCTAAAAATATGTTTAAGTATATTGAGCACTCAACATGGCTTATCACGTAGTAGTGCTATATTATACAAGTGTCTATGTATTTGTTATTTTACTTACTACTTTCAAGTAACTTCTTTTGCCTAGGCATCAGGTTAAACCATGTGAGCTAAGAAGATAGGTCTAGGCAGAATTATAATGCCAGTACTCACCTAGCTTGGTGTCATGAAATGCCCTTTTGGTTCTGAAATTTAGATTCTATTAGTGGGTGCAGTAAGATAACTTGTATATTGAACAAATGCAGATAGAATTCATTTTGCCAACCTGATCCTTGTTTTAAAAGACAATATCAGCCAGGCGCGGTGGCTTATGCCTGTAATCCCAGCACTTTGGGAGGCTGAGGAAGGTGGATCAGCTGAGGTCAGGATTTCAAGACCAGCCTGGACAACATGGCAAAACCCTGTCTCTACTAAAAATACAAAAATTAGCCGGGAGTGGTGGTGTGCACCTGTAATCCCAGCTACTCGGGAGGCTGAGGCAGGAGAATCGCTTGAACCTGGGAGGCAGAGGTTGCAGTGAGCCAAGATCGTACCACTGCACTCCAGCCTGGGCGACAGAGTGAAACTCTGTCTCAAAAAAAAAAAAAAAAAAAAAAAAAAAAAGGCAATACCACTTCTGTGAGACCTGTTCTAACCACTCTTTGAAATTGCCATCCTGCCTGCTTCCCAAAGGCCCCACATGCCTTGTCAGCTCACTTGCATTATTTTTCTATAGCTCTTCTAACAACCTAAACTCACATGTTGAATTTACTTATTCATACCGTGTCTCTTTCCTCGCCTTCCACCTCCGTCTATAGTGTAAGCTCCACAAGGGCAGGGATTTCTGTCTTTGTTTTGTTTTGTATCCCTGCTCCTAGCATGGTGCCTGAAACGTAGTCAATGCCCAACAAATACTTAACTGAATAATATGTTGTGTTTCCTAAACAAAGATCAGGCTATTCCATCCATGGATCACACCCCTCACGTTCATAAAAATGAAAATAAGGAGTCGACGTGGGTTGATCTGCACCTTCTAGTCAGACCCTCCCTGTGACCAGCGGCCATGTTTTCCAATGGCAGCCGGAGTCGGGTCTGGGGGCTCAAGTGCTACACCCTGCAACAGAGCCTGTTTTGTCATTGACCCTTGGTGCGGAAGGCACTCAAGCCAATGGAACTGATTAGACTAAGATTAAATTAGACTAAGATAATCGAGGAATGTTGCTATTTTAATCTTGACCATGTGAGACCATTTGACTATCATCCAAAGGGCTCAGCCAAAAAAAGATTACCTAATGAGTTAATCCCAAATCATCACAATATGTGAGAAAATGGGGCCGGGCATGGTGGCTCCCAGCACTTTGGGAGGCCAAGGCAGGTGGATCACCTGAGGTCAGGAGTTCAAGACCAGCCTCGCCAACATGGTGAAACCCTGTCTCTACAAAAATACAAAAATTAGCCGGACATGGTGGCAGGCGCCTGTAATCCCAGCTACTCAGGAGGCTGAGGTGGGAGAATCGCTTGAATCCAGGAGGCAGAGGTTGCAGTGAGCCGAGATCATGCCTTTGTACTCCAGCCTGGGCAACAGAGCGAGACAATGTCTCAAAAACAAAAAAAAAAAAAAGAAAAGAAAATAGGAAAATGGGAAGCTTTATGAAATCAAGACGTGTGTTCACACGTCATCATCTCTTCCCAAATGTTATAGCTGATAAATTTAAAGAGCTATTGATTCCAAGAGATGGCCCTGAGTTTAAACAAGACCTCGGCCTACTTGGTAGCCTGACAAATTCCCACAGTGACACTGCCATGATCCTTTCCTCCAACAGGTTGTGAAATAGTGCCCCAGTCCCATGGGACTGGTGTGATTGTTAGTGGGTACTCAGTCTTGCCCAATCTGATTTTTCCTTAAATAGTACCAATATGACAGCAATGTTGGGATGTTGTCTCCGGCTGCCTCTGCATGTAAATATTGTCAACCTTGCTCAAGGGAAATGGGGTTGCCGACTTTAGTCCAAGATCCCTCTCTTGGCTATTACTGGCAACCTGCCATGGAACTGGGCAAGCCTCTTTCCTTTCGGGGGAAACTGCTCATCTGTAAATTGAGGGAATTGGGTTATCTAGTCCAACTTGGTCTAGATGGTCTTAACATTTCATCTTTAAAATTCTGTTATTAAAAAAAAACAAAACAAATGATTTGGAACAGCCAAGTTGGAATTACAAATCCTGAAAGGACTTGTTCATTAAAAATAAAATGGCCAGGTGCAGTGGCTCATGCCTGTAATCCCAGCACTTTGAGAGGCAGAGGCGGGCGGATCACGAGGTCAAGAGATTGATACCATCCTGGCTAACACGGTGAAACCCCATCTGTACTAGAAATACAAAAAATTAGCCTGGCGTGGTGGCGGATGCCTGTAGTCCCAGCTACTTGGGAGGCTGAGAGAGGAGAATAGCATGAACCCAGGAGGTGGAGCTTGCAGTGAGCCGAGATCGTGCCACTGCACTCCAGCCTGGGTGACAGAGCCAGACTCCATCTCAAAAAATAGATAAATAATAAATAACAAATAAAATAAATGGGTTGAAAGTGTCGATGATCACACAGGTCAGGTATGCCTTTTCTATGAATCATAATCTCATAAGGCAACTTTTTACCCTGTGCTATTTTAATTTTGCGATAGGAATTGTTCATTGGCTTTGCAATAATGTTTGCTCCTCTAGAGGGAGGTGTGCTCTTGGGTTCCGATTATTAGCTTGTACTCAAGCAAGCGGAGGACAGGCTGCTGAGGGCCAGAACTGTAGACTGTGCAGGACAGCAGGCATTCCCCTCAAAGAAGGATTACATCAACAGACCCTGGTGATAGTGGGGGCATGTTTGGTGGCTGATTTTTTTTTTTTTTTTTTTTTTTTGAGACAAAGTCGCTCTTGTCTCCCAGGCTGGAGTGCAAAGGCACGATCTCGGTTCACTGCAACCTCTGCCTCCCCGGTTCAAGCGATTCTCTTTCCAGTCTCCCCAGTAGCTGAGATTACAGGCGCCTGCCACCACGCCCAACTAATTTTTGTATTTTTAGTAGAGACGGGGCTTCACAATGTTGGCCAGGCTGTTCTCAACATTGTGTTCCCAACACAACGTTGGCCAGGCTGACCTCAGGTGATCCGCCCGTCTCAGCCTCCTAAAGTGCTAGTGAGAGGTGACAGCGTGCTGGCAGCCTTCACTCGCTCTGGGCACTTCTTTTCCATGGGCTCCCACTTTGGCGGCACTTGAGCAGCCCTTCAGCCCGCCGCTGCACTGTGGGAGCCCCTTCCTGAGCTGGCCAAGGCCGAAGCCGGCTCCCTCAGCTTGCCGGGAGGTGTGGAAAGAGAAGCACGGACGGGAACTGGGGCTGGGCGCGGCGCTTGCGGGCCAGCGCGAGTTCCGCGTGGGTGTGGGCTCCGCGGGCCCCGCACTCGGAGCAGCCAGCTGGCCCCGCCGGCCCCGGGCAGTGAGGGGCTTAGCACCTGTGCCAGCAGCTGCTGTGTTCGACTTCGCGCCGGGCCTTCACTGCCTCCCCGCGAGGCAGGCCTCGGGACCTGCGGCCCACCATGCCTGAGCCGCCCCCCAATCCCGGGCTTCTGCGCGGCCTGAGCCTCCCCGACGAGTACCGCCCCCTGCTCCACAGCGCCCAGTCCCATCAACCATCCAAGGGCTGAGGAGCGCGGGCGCACGGCGCGGGACTGACAGGCAGCTCCACTTGCGGCCCCAGTGCGGGATCCACTGGGTGAAGCTAGCTGGGCTTCTGAATCTGGCGGGGACTTGGAGAATCTTTATGTTTAGCTAAGGGATTGTAAATACACCAATCAGCACTCTGTCTCTAGCTCAAGGTTTGTAAACACACCAATCAGCACCCTGTGTCTAGCTCAGGGTTTGTGAACGCACCAATGGACACTGTATCTAGCTACTCTGGTAGGGACTTGGAGAACCTTTATGTCCAGCTAAGGGATTGTAAATACACCAGTCAGCACTCTGTATCTAGCTTAAGGTTTGTAAACACACCAATCAGCACCCTGTGTCTAGCTCAGGGTTTGTGAATGCACCAATTGACACTCTGTATCTAGCTACTCTGGTAGGGACTTGGAGAAGCTTTACATCTAGCCAAGGGATTGTAAATGCACCAATCGGCACTCTGTATCCAGCTGAAGGTTTGTAAATACAACAATCAGCACTCTGTGTGTAGCTCAGGGTTTGTAAACACACCAGTGGACACTCTGTATCTAGCTAACCTAGTAGGGAGGTGGAGAACTTTTGTGTCTAGCTCAGGGATTGTAAACGCACCAATCAGCACCCTCTCAAAACAGACAATCAGCTCTCTGTAAAACAGACCAATCGGCTCTCTGTAAAATGGACCAATCAGCAGGATGCGGGAGGGGCCAGATAAGAGAATAAAAGCAGGCTGCCTGCCCTAGCAGTAGCAACTTGCTCAGATTTATGTTTCCGTAGTGTGGGAGCTTTGTTCTTTCACTGTTTGCGGTAAGTTTTGTCAGTGCTCAGGGTTTGGGTGTGCATTGTCTTTGTGAGTTGTCACGCTCACTGTGAGAGCATGCTGCTTCGCTCTGAAAGCCAGGAAAACCCTGAACCCCGCAGGAAGAACAAACAATTCCAGACGCGCGACCTTAGAGACCTGTAACACTTAGCGCGAAGGTCTGTAGGTTCATTCCGGAGCCAGTGAGACCATGAACCTCTAGGAAGAAAAAACTCAGAACGTATCTAAAATGCCAGAAGGAACTAACTAGGGACACGCTGCGTTTCAGAACTTTAACACTGAACGCGAGAGTCTGCGGCTTCATTAAGTCAGTGAAACCAATAAACCCCCCAATTGTGGACACTAGGATTACAGGCGTGAGTCCCCACACCTGGCCTGTTTAGTGGCTGATTTTAGAATTAATCCTCACTGAAGAACTCCTGAGGAACTAACTCCTCAGTAACATTTTTCAGAAGTTGTTCATCCAATCAGGATCTGGCTTACTTCAAAATAAGCTGGGTTTGGTGACTCACACTTTAATCCCAGCGCTTTTGGAAGTTGAGGTGGGCGGATCACTGGAGGTCAGGCATTTCAAATCAGCCTAACATGTAATCCTGTCTCTACTAAAAATACAAAATTAGCCAGGTGTGGTGGTACATGCCTGTAATCCCAGCTACTTGGGAGGCTGAGGGGGATCATGCTTGAAACTAGGAGGCGCAGATGGCAATAAGCCGAGACCTCACCACTGCACTCCAGCCTGGGCAGTAAGAGTGAAACTCTGTCTCAAAAAAGTAAAAAGCACGCTTTAACAAAAGAATAACAATAACAAAAATAGACGTTTAAAGGGCCTTAGATTGCGAGGGTGAATGCTGATGAACTTGCTGAGGCTCACGTCATCTTTCTGGGCCTCCGCTTTCTCATCTGTAAAATAATATTGAACTGATAAAGCCTCTGATAGGTTTAGAGCTGCCCTCTTCAGCAGGGAGTCAGGAGCCACATGTGACTACTGAGTGTTTGCATGTGGCTAGTTTGGATTGTAAGTGTGAAATACATACTGGGTTATGAAGATAGTATGACATATATAATGTATAGAATAATTTTTAAATGTTGGGTACATGTTGAAATGGTAATATTTTGCATATATTGGGTCAAATATTTACATTAATTTCACCCACCTTTTGGTAGGATAGGAAATTTAAATTCCGTTAGTGGATATGTGATACATAGGATAAAACAACATACAAAGGAAGGAACTTTCCCCCAGAATCTAAGTTAAACTTCACATAAGATACTTTTTTAGCTGGATGCTGTGGTTCACACCTGTAATCCCAACAGTTTGGGAGGCCGAGGATCTCTTGAGGCAAGGAGTTCAAGACCAGCCTGGGTAACAGAGAGAGACACCACTTCTACCAAAAATTTATAAATTAGCTGGGTGTGGTGGTGAATGCCTGTAGTCCCAGCTACTTAGGAGGCTGAGGTGGGAGGATCGTTTGAGCCCAGGAGGTTGAGGTTTCGTGAGCAGTGATCGCACCACTGCACTCCAGCCTGGGCGACAGAGTGAGATCTGGTCTCACACACACAAAGATTCTTTAAAATTTCATACTCAGGAATATTAATTCTGAAGAACAAAAACAAAAAGTTAAAATTGCCATTCCAATTGGTTTAAATATAGTTGATATACAGAGTATGGGGGAAAATGAGACTTCTTAAGAATAAATAAAAGGAGACGTAAAATACTTGTTTTTTTCCCCAACAATATTTTGTTAGCTTATAAGTTTGTTCCTCAAAGTTTTCTACCAAAGATGGAAGAACATCACTGAGCTGCTTCTACTCCACCTCCAAGCGTGACATTTCTTTCAAATCTCTTGTTTGAGCTTGAAAAAAAGTCCATGTGAATTTTTCATTCCTTTTCATACTAAATTCCTGTTAAATTGTTTTAATTTATTTTTAAAATTGGCCGGGCACAGTGGCTCACGCCTGTAATCCCAGCACTTTGGGAGGCTGAGGTGGGTGGATCATAAGGTCAGGAGTTCAAGACCAGCCTGGCCAACATGGTGAAACCCCATCTCTACTAAAAAATACAAAAATTAGCTGGGCGTGGTGGCAGGCGCCTGTAGTCCCAGTTACTTGGGAGGCTGAGGCAGAAGACTTGCTTGAACCTGGGAGGTGGAGATTGCAGTGAGCCAAGATCATGCCACTGCACCCCAGCCTGGGCGCCAGAGTGAGACTCCATCTCAAAAAAAAAAAATTGATACATATCAGATGTACATATTTTTTGGGTACATGTGATAATTTGATACATTCATATAGTCAAATCAAGGCAATTGGGATATTTATCACCTTAAATCTTTATCTTAGACCAGGTGCAGTGGCTCATGCCTGTAATCCCAGCACTTTGGGAGGCTGAGGCGGGCGGCTCACTAGAGGTCAGGAGTTCAAGACCAGCCTAGGTAACATAGTGAAACCCCATCTCTACTAAAAATACAAAAAAAATATATATATATTGGCCGGGCACAGTGGTGCACACCTGTAATCCCAGCTACTCGGGAGGCTGAGGCAAGAGAATTGCTTGAACCCAGGAGGTGGAGGTTGCACTGAGCCTCGGTCATACCACTGTACTCTAGCCAGGGGAACAGAGCGAGCCTCTGTCTCAAAAAAAAAAAAGATTATATTTTCTTTACCCTAGGAACATTTGAATTATTCTAGCTGATTTTGAAATATACAATCAATTAACATTATAGTAACCCTACTGATCTATCAGCACCATGTCTTATTTCTTCTATCAGCTTAAAACAAAATTCATGTGAATTTTTCACTCCAGTTCATAATAAATTTCTGTTATGTTTGAAGTTTTAAACTCACATCAAGTAATGATGCTCCAGAAAGTAGTTCCCCACGTTTAACCTGTAGTTTTCTTGTGGCACATCAGGATGACCATAATTGTATTGTATATTTTGTTGCTCCTAAAAAGAGTATGGCAAGATTTTTGTCAATTGGAGGACAATGGTATCCATTATATTGCAGTTAGGATTAAATGAGATATAATGCAGGCATGTCATTTAGCACACAATACACTTTAATAAAAATAAATACTGGTTACTTTTCTCATTTGGTTCCTAATAGGTGCCATTCCATATAAAGTGAAGGATAACGGCTACAGCATTTTTTGTTAGACTTGGACAATGTTGAATGTACTACAGAAGCATACTTTAAGGTATGTGCATGGAGGCTGCTATAGGACATATAGGTACCCATTCATTTACAGTTTGTTGTTGTTGTTGTTTTGAGATGGAATCTCACTCTTGTTGTCCAGGCTGGAGTGCAATGGTGCAATCTCGGCTCACTGCAACCTCTGCCTCCCAGGTTCAAGCAATCCTCCTGCCTCAGCCTCCCAGGTAGCTGGGATTACAGGCATGTGCCACCACGCCCGGCTAATTTTTTAGTATTTTTCGTAGAGACGGGGTTTCACCAGGCTGGTCTCGAACTCCTGACCTCAGGTGATCCACCCACCTCAGCCTCCCAAAGTGCTGGGATTGCAGGTGTGAGTCACCGCGCCCGGCCTACAGTTTCGTTAATACTTATGCAGGTGTTCGTAGGCAGTCATGTGCTGTAATTGAAAAGTCCCAGATTTGAGTTAAGAGAACCTGATTCTAGCCCAGGATCTGCTACTCCTTTTTAATTTTTTAAAAATAATGTATACCTTGCCTATTAATAATTTTTAAGACCAGATACAGTGGCTCACACCTGTAATCGCAGCACTTTGGGAGGCTGAGGCAAAAGGGTTGCTTGAGCTCAGGAGTTCGAAACCAGCCTAGGTAACATAGAAGACCTCATCTCTATTAAAATAAAACTAAAAAAAAATTAGCCAGGCATGGTGGCACGCGACTATGGTCCCAGCTATTCAGAGGCTATGGTGGGAGGATCACTTGAGTCTGGGAGGTTGAGGCTGCAGTGAGCCACGACGGTGCTCCAGCCTGGGTGAATGAGATGCTGTTTCAAAAAAAAAAAAGAAAAGAAAAGAAGAAAAAGAAAAACAACACAACCCAAACACCAAAAAACAGAAATAATTTTTAACTAGTCTTCGTTAAGCAACATTCTCAATACTATCAGTAAAAAGATCAAAGCCATTTAGAGGAAGGGAGAAGGTATTATAGCCAAAGCAAAATAGGCTGCCATAGCTGGTGCCTCGCTGAATTTCCTGAGTTGTTGAGCACAGGGTCAGTGAGCTTGGGGAAGTCATTGGACATTTCCCACCTGGCCTGGGTCCGCCCACCTCCACAGTGCAGTGGTTGGATGCCGCCTCCTGCAGTATTGACTAACTGGGCGAACGTGGGCAAATCCAACTTTCTGAACATACTCCCTTATCTGAAATGAGGACGGTGTGGAAGGTGAATGTGCTGCCAGTGAAAGCTCAGAGCTTGACACCAGGAAGCACTCAATTAATGCTGGCTTCCCCTACGAATTCTCAGAGTCTAATACAAATTCACTTGCGGTGTCATTCTGTCGTTCTGTTACCCTCTTCCAAAATGAGGAAGTGAGTGTTCTTGGACGAACAGGCTCCTTTGGATTTAAAATCACCACTCCAGAGCAAAGTGGTCTTTCCATCCTTAGCACAGCCCGTGGAGGAGGAAGGAGGATCACTGTGGAAATCGTCCTCACCTCCCACGCGGCTCCTGGGAATATGTCTCAAGAGCAGATGAGGGCCTTGACCTCAATGGCAGATCAGTTCACCCTACATTGTAAATGGCTCATATGCGTAGAGCAAACGGTGATGGGTGGAGGGCAGTGGAAGGGGCGTGGTGGGAAGTCCAGAGAGAAGTCCAGAAAAGAGAGGATGGAGAAATCCAAAAGCCACTGACTTCACAGTTTTACCTGGGCCAGCCCTGCCCTGGCCTAAGCCAGGGGGAGGAGCTGGTTGGCTTTCAGGGCCTCCTCATCGCGTCAGGAAGCCACACCCCATTTGGGACAAGGGACCACAGTGCACAGCTTGTGGGCTCAGGTGGAGCTGGGATCGGAGCTGCGGCCCTCACCGGGCAGCCTGAGTCCCATAGGGCGGGACAGCAGGGCGGGGGCTGTGGCACCAGCCGAGCTCCCGACCCTGCGCCACTTGAGACCCCAGATTTCCTCTGGCATGTAAGCCAAGTGGTCATTTGGATTCTGGAGGAGAGCCAGGTTGTTGTTTTGGGTGCTTATGTTTGTTTTGTTCGTTTGTTTTCGGTTCGTGGCAGCCTCATGGAGCATCTAGTTGCTCAGCTTGGTGCAGTGTGGAAAGCCCGGAGCTGCGGCTTTGCTGGAAAGCCAGATCCGGTTAGGATCTCTTCAGTAGCCTCTTTGCTGCGGTGGTTTCCGAGCAAGTACACCCGTGCTTGCTGCCTTCAGTCTGTGGCCGGGAAAGAAAGTGTCTTGACCACAGAATCAGTGGGCAGTTCTGAGGCATTCGCTGGATTGCTCTCCCAGCATCTCTCTAAAATACCGTGACCTTGGGAGCGGTTCTGAGTCCTGGGGTGGCCGAGTGGGCTTACATGCTTCTGCCTCTGGAGGCAGGGGATGGGGAACAAAGAGAAGATTCTCTGGGGACGGCTTTCCAGAGTGAGAGGCAATGTTTCCAGAGGTGTCACAGAGACAAAAGTCCAGCCCTCTGACTAGATGGGCTTGCTGCAGACAAGGCAGTTCTGGAAACAAACAAACAAAAAACTTCAAACAGGTTAACAATGGGAAAATATTTTTGCAATGAAGAAAAAACAAGCCCCTACGAGAAGGCAGGTCCAGAAAAGATCGCTGCATGATTGTATTTTGGGTTTGAAATTTCAGCTGCTTCTATCTTCAAGCCAAAGGCAGACCCACCCCCAGCCTCGGCGGGCTCTCCCTGGTCTAGGGAGGGCCACACCAAAGGGGCCTCACCCCTTTTGGTGTGGGCTTTGTGCCAGCCAATGTCAGCATCCCAGCAAGCCAGCATTTGTTTCCTAGAACTATGTGTTTTGAAGGGGAGAAAGATTATATTCGGCACATTATGGGGCCTTTGGATCCTGCGGGTGGACGCTGGGTGCGGGTAGGGCTGGCTGTGCTGTGGGACGCCAAGTGCTGCCCACTGGAGCTGCAGGGGTGTGAAGGCAGCACATGCACCGCCTGTGCTAGATGGAAAACGAAGTGTCTGCAAATACTAACAGATATGAAAGAAGGCTGCTCAGCGTGTGGAAACGGGTGGGTGCTGGAGCCATTGGAACCCTGTGGCTTTTAGGAATGTGGATGGCCAGTGCTTGCAGATGTTCACAGAGTGAAAACTGTGGATGGACCAAGAGGCCAGACTTCACAGCTTGGGTTGCCCCTGGGAGGGCAGGTGAGAATCAGGCAGCTCTTGGGTTTGAAGGCCCGGACCCTTGAAGGGCTGCTGTTAGTGTTTGTGTCTCTTCCTCAGTTAACACCTGGAAGCAGGACAAGGAACGCCCAGAGGAGCTCCTTTGGTAGTTCGCCAGCATAGGGGCAGGACTGTCATCTGATCTGTGGAAATGGGATCCACTTTCTGTTGGCCTATTAGGGCCTTTCTCTGTCACACATAATTTCAAGAAGAGGAGGGGAAATTGAAAAGTGGTAGCCTTGACTGTCAGCATCCTGCCCTAGTTTGGAAGTCAACAGTCTGTCCTTCTCCGGGAGTGGCCAGTGCTGCTCTGGGGCTGCTTCCTGCACCCCACAAGCTGCAGAACTGCAAAGCCTCTCAGCCTCCCATGAGTCTGGTCTGATTATTTTTTTTGAGATAGTCTCATTCTGTCGCCCAGGCTTGAGTGCAGTGGTGCTGTCTTGGCTCATTGCAACCTCCGCCTCCCAGGTTCAAGTGATTCTCGTGCCCCAGCCTCCCGAGTAGCTGAGATTACAGGTGCGCACCACCACGCCCGGCTAATTTTTTGTGTTTTTAGTACAGATGGGGTTTCACCACGTTGCCCAGGCTGGTCTTGAACTCCTGAGCTCAGACAATCCACCTGCCTTGGCCTCCCAAAGTGCTAGGATTACAGGCATGAGCCACTGCGCCCAGCCTGATTTTTCTTTCTTTTTTTTTTTTTTAAGTAGAAAATGTGAACAGCAGAATGAAATGCCACCCAGTTAACCCATGTATGCCAGAGGTTGCAAATTTTTTGTGTGTGTGAAAAATCAGACCTTAGCGATGACCTTGAGCAGTAGAGTATAAATAACTCCCATAAGCTTAGCATTCCGATAATGGAACACTAGGCATAAATGGGCTAATGACCTCTTTCCTTCCTTGGGCTCTTTTTATGTAGCTTTTATGCTGCTGGTTTTTGTTTTTTTTTTTTTTTTTTGAGTCTTACTTTGTCACCCAAGCTGGAATGCAGTAGTGCAAACATGGCTTACTGCAGCCTCAACTTCCCAGGCACAAGAGATCTTCTCACTTCAGCCCCCTAAATAGCAGGACTACAGGGGCACACCACCACACCTGGCTAATTTTTTTTTTTTTTTTTTTGGTAGAGATGGGGTTTTGCCATGTTGTCCAGGCTGTTCTCAAACTCTCCGAGCTCAAGCGATTTGTCCACCTTAGCCTTCCAAAGTGCTGGGATTACAGGCGTGAGCCACCGCGCCTGGCCTCACGCTGCATTCATAAAGAGACTTACCACACGGAGTCTGATTGGAGGTTGCAATAGAGGTTTGAAAGCTAGGAGTAAATGTTTACGTTAAACATAGACTTATGTGGCTTAGATTCTTTTCCCAACATCCCATCCTCCTATCAAAATAAAATAAAACTTCTTCCCCAGCAAGTAGAAAGTTGATGAAAATCAAAAAAACCATATAGTTCATTCACTGTATTATTTTTCTAAATTGAATATTATTCTAAGCCTATCAACAGAATGCTATTGGGGAATATACAAGGGTTATATGTTATCTCCTATCCTTAATATTGCTGTTTCTTATGCAATAACACACACGTGGACACACACACACTCACATGTTCACACTCACACACAAATGATTTGGAAAGAATGTGAGGTCTAAGTGCTAAATTGTGTGGCCCAGAGGTACATGCCATAGATGTACAGAGAAAGGAGCAAATTGCATGGATTGGAGTGGTTGGGTGGGACTGGTAGGACCAGAGCCAGACTGAGGGATGGATAGGTTTGGGTGGGGACTGGGAGGGTGAAAAGCTGAGCTACATGCCAGAGGTAGATGACAGAGAACCTGCTCTGCCTGGATGGAAGAGTGCACCAACTGGTGTGCTTCTGGTTGCAAGTAACAGTAAACCCTGACTTGCACCGAGATGATCACCAGAAATATCCCAGAACTAAAATATGAAGATAAGACAGTTTTCAGGGCCACAAAGAGGTGAAAAAAACCCGAGAAGATGGTAAGATAATCAGATTTCCACATCTGTGACACCCCTCCCCTCGTTCTACCTGGCAGCAAGTGTGTGGAAAATTTCCCCCCAACTCACTGTTTCTACACTGGTGTAAGTAAGATCAAGGTCAACAAACAGCTCCCCCACCATCTTGGGTTCCCCGGCAGGAGATCCGTTCCTTCCTTAACCCACAGGAAGCATAAAAGGAGAAATATCTCTGAGAACAGGCAGAGACAAAGGGAGGAGGCAGGACTACCATCCCCACCCTGGAAATTCTGTTCTGTAACTCAACCAAAGGAGGCACCAAGTCAGAGTGACTATTTAGCAGTACGACACTGTAGGGGGTTCAGCTCACAGGTCCCCTGGGCACAAACTCCTAGCCAGGAAGGGCAGTATACTGATCAGTTACTAGAGTCAAAGTGAACCTGGGCTTTAAGGTGCCACCCAGAGCTGAAAAGGGGGCAGTGGCCTAGCAGTGAATAACTTCTAAGCAAATATATTCAATAAAAACCCAAACAAGCTAGAGAAGACTGGAATACATAATGTTTCAATGCAAAGACAGACGTACATCCAGAAGAAACAACGGCAAACAGGGAACAACAATCCTCCAAAATGGACAAACCAAGGAACCAGTAACTGACCCCAACAGGATGGTGATATGTGAGCTCTCTGACCAATAAGTCAAATAGTAGTTTTAAGGAAACTCAGTGATCTCCAAGATAATACAGAAAAGCAATTCAGAAATTCATCAGAGAAATTTAACAAAGAGATTGAAATAACAACAAACAAACAGAAATATTGGAACTAAGAAATACATTTGCTGAATTAAAATATTCATTAGAGGCTCTCAACAGCAGAATGGATCAAGTTGAGCCAAGAATCAGTGAGCTAAAGACAGGTTATTTGAAAACACACAATTGGAGGAGAAAATAGAATAAAAAGCAATCAAGTGGCCGGGTGCAGTGGCTCATGTCTGTAATCCTAGCAATTTGGGAGGCCAAGGTGGGCAGATCACCTGAGGTCAGGAGTTCGAGACCATCCTGTCTAACATGGTAAAACCCTGTCTCTACTAAAAATGCAAAAAAAATTAGCTGGGCATGGTGGCACACGCCTGTAGTTCCATTTACTCCGGAGGCTGAGGCAGAAGAATCGCTTGAACCCAGGAGGCAGAGGTTGCAGTGAGCCGAGATCATGCCACTGCACTCCGGTCTGGGTGACAGAGTGAGACTCTGTCTCAAAAAAAAAAAAAAAAAAAGAAAAAAAGACTCCAGGGTATTTGGGCAGACAGCTCCTGTCATCTGTCTCCTCTGCCTTCTGCATTATCTCCACTCTCTTCCAAAGTGCAGATTCCTCCCTTTCCTAATTAAAGAGTATGCTTGATAGCTTTTCCCACACCTTGCCCATCATTTCCTCTCTCCTTTTTTTTTTTTTTTTTTTGGAGACAGGTCTCACTCTGTTATTCAGTCTGGAGTGCAGCGGCATGATCTTGGCTCATCACAACCTCCGCCTCCTGGGTTCAAGCAATTCTCCTACCTCAGCCTCTCGAGTAGCTGGGACTACAGGTGTGCACCACCGTGCCTGGCTAATTTTTGTATTTTTAGTAGAGATGGGGTGTCACCATGTTGGTCAGGCTGGTCTCGAACTCCTGACCTCAGGTGATCCACCTGCCTCGGCCTCCCAAAGTGCTGGGATTATAGGCGTGAGCCACTGGCCCCGGCCTATGGTGCTGTGTTCTTACAGTTCTAGAGACAGCCTCTGGTTCAGAGGAGAAAGAAGGGTCTGGTTCTACAGAGTTTCTCAATCTTGTTCTATGAGCTACTTCTTTGAGAAACAGCTTGAGCTACAGGTGTGTGTCCGTAAGCTGTTGAGACGGGCAGCTGCATGAACAGAAAGGGTGTGGGCCACTCAGATAAGGGTGACTATGAGATAAAGAAATGACAGGTCTCGGGGCTGAGTGTGGTGGCTCCTACCTGTAATCCCAGCACTTTGGGAGGCCAAGGCGGGAGGATCACTTGAGCCTAGGAGTTTGAGACCAGCCTAGGAGTTCAAAACATAGTGTGACCCCCATCTCTACAAATTTTTTTTTAAATTAGCTGGCATGGTGGCACAAGCTTACAGTTCAGCTACTAGTGAAGATGAGGGGGAAAGATTGCTTGAGCCGGGGAGATACAGGCTGCCGTGAGCCAAGATCGCATCAGTGCACTCCAGCATGGGAGACAAAGTGAGACTGTCTCAAAAAGGAAAAAAAAGAAGAAAACGAAAGAAAGAAAGAAAAGAAAAGAAGAAAGAAGAAAATAAAGGAAAGAAAGAAAAGAAAAGAAAAAAGAAGAAAATAAAGGAAAGAAAGAAAGAGAGGAAAGGAAAGGGATGGGACAGGGAGGGGAGAGGAGGGGAGGGGAGGAAAGAAAAAAGAAAAGAAAAGGACAGACAGCCACAATATGACTGAGAGAGGGTAGATTTTGACCAGATGTCTGAGCTAGGAAAAACCGTGAGGAGAGGAGACAATAAACTCCAAACCCAGTTTAAGATGGAAGTCTGGCTGGGTGTGGTGGCTTACGCCTATAATCCCAGCAGTTTGGGAGGTCGAGGTGGGCAGAAAACCTGAGGTCAGGAGTTTGAGACCAGCCTGACTAACATGGAGAAGCCGTCTCTACTGAAAATACAAAATTAGCCGGGCATGGTGGTGCGTACCTGTAACCCCAGCTACGCGGGAGGCTGAGGCAGGAGAATCACTTGAACCTGGGAGGCAGAGGCTGCGGTAAGCAAAGATTGCGCCATTGCACTCTAGCCTGGGCAACAAAAGCAAAACTCCGTCTCAATAAATAAATAAATAAATAAATAAATAAAAAGGAAGTCTTGAGAATAATCTGCTCATTTAAAGAAAAAAGAAAAAGGGAGGGGGTGGACTTTAGTTCCACATGTGTTGTGGCCTGGCTGTGAATGTGCTGTGGGTTTCCACAATAAAGGCCTGGCCAAGGACTCATCATGCCCCAAATCCTAGATGAGAAACTTTCATAAGTCAGAGGGCCTGGCCCTTCTGACTCTCAGATTCTGAAAATTAGTTTTTACCTTGATTTGGACAAGAAGATTTATTGGGTGGGGGGTTTTCCTACAAATTTGAAAACTTCTAAAAGCCATTTGAATTTTACATCTATATTGAAATATGGGAAACTGGCCTTTGTAAAGATGTTTTTCACTTCTTTTTTTTTTTTTTTTTTTCCCGAGACAGAGTCTTGCTCTGTCACTTAGGCTGGAGTGCAGTGGTGTGATCTTGGCTCACTGCAACCTCCGCCTCCTGGGTTTAAGCAATTCTCCTGCCTCAGCCTCCAGAGTAGCTGGGATTAGAGGTGTGTGTCACCATGCCTGGCTAATTTTTTTTTTTTGTATTTTTAGTAGACAGGATTTCACCATGTTGGCCTGGCTGGTCTTGAACTCCTGACCTCATGATCCACCCACCTTGGCCTCCCAAAATGCTAGGATTACAGGTATGAGCCACCACGCCCGGCCTTGTTTTTCACTTCTATAAAAAGCATTGATAGAAAGGATGCATACTTTCATGATTTAAACTTCCTATGGATGTCTCATGTAATTAATATCATTGCTTCAAAGATGAGTTGTGAATTTCTTATGGAAATTAAATAACTCTACCTGTTTTGGATGAGAAATTTCATTCATTTTAGTGTTAGCCTACCATAATGATAGCCAGGGGATTCTGTTTCTTTATTGTGAAAAAAAGGTCTAAACTTTATATTAATGTTACTTTAGTTTAGAATAAACATTTTTTCCACTTGCAAAAACATCCAATATTGCCGTTTCACTTTTTGTCAAATGTATATGTATGTACTTATTTTTCTTTTTTAAAAGGTTTGAGACAGGGTCTCACTCTGTCACCCAGGCTGGAGTACAGTGGCTCGACCTCAGCTCACTACAACCTCTGCCTCCTGGGCTCAATCAATCTTCCCACATCAGCCTCGTAGGTAGGTGGGACTACAGGTGCACGCCACCACATCCACTTATTTTTTGTATTTTTTGTAGAGATGGGGTCTCACTGTGTTGCTCAAGCTGGTCTCAAACTTCTGGGCTCAAGCCATCTGCCTGCCTTGGCCTCCCAAGTGCTAGGATTACAGACATGAACCATCATGCCACGCCCTTATTTTTCAAAGTCAATCAAATTATTAAGTTAAAAAAAACCACTTCCCCTATACCCACTTCCCCAATTTCTCCTTTGCTAGTGTCAGTTATGTTCTTTTAACTGATTATTTTGGTATTTACCTGGATAAATTTAATTAACAAGCTTGTATTGCTTTATTTTTCAGTTTAAAACATTAGTTATTTTCTTCTATGAAAGTTGAAGATTTAGTTCTTCATTCTCCACATATTTTCACTTCTGTCCTCTTGCCTGTCATCCCAGTTATGTTTTAACTTTTATTACTTTTTGTTAGACACGGAGTCTCCCTATGCTGCCCAGAGCAGATTTGAACTCCAGGGTTCAAGCCATCCTTCTGCCTCAGTCTCCCGGGTAGCTTGGAGTTTTCACATCAATTTCCATTATTTGTGTCAGTGTGACTATCTGTGTTCAGAGTCAATCTTGTAATATTGCAACTACTTTTTTCTTTTGTGCTTAGCTATTAAGTTTCCCCCAAATTAACAACTGTCCTTTTTTTTAAAAAATTGCCTACTTTTCTGTCTGCTGTGGCTAATTCAACTCCAAACTTTCTGCTCATTGTCTGGGTCCTGTCCCAGTAGGTTCATTTTCATCATATATCCTCCCAGTTTGGTCTCCATGCAGACCCTCCGGGCTAGTTGCTCCCACGCTGGTGTCCAGCAATCATCTGGCAGGCCCCTTTTCCCGTCACACGGGGATTCTCTTCATCTCTCCACCATCAAGTCTCCAGTTCCTTGACTTATTTTTCATCTCCTTGTCATTTTACTCTGGGAGATTTCCAGTTTTACCTTGAACTTTTCATTTCTATTATATTTTTAATTTCCAATAGATCTTTCTTTGTTCTCTTGAATGCTACTTTAAAAAAACTCATTGTGGGCCGGGCGCGGTGGCTCATGCCTGTCATCCCAGCACTTTGGGAGGTTGAGGTGGGCGGATCACGAGGTCAGGAGATCGAGACCATCCCTGGCCAACATGGTGAAACCCCGTCTCTACTAAAAATAAAAAAATTAGCCTGGCGTGGTGGCGCGTGCCTGTAATCCCAGCTACTCCAGAGGCTGAGGCAGGAGAATCACTTGAACCTGGGAGGCGGAGGTTGCAGTGAGCTGAGATCACGCCACAGCACTCCAGCCTGGCGACAGAGAGAGACTCCGTCTCAAAACAAAACAAAAAACTAAAACAAAACAAAAAACCTCATTGCATTCTTCTTTTATGAATACACTCTCTTTTCTCTATATTGCTGTCATCTGGCTTTAAAAACATGCTGTCCTGACTTGGTTTTGAGTCTCTAGCTAGAGACAGGTCAGTTTCCCTTATTAATACTCGAGGGGGTTCTGGAAGTTATCTTTTCTCTGCAGTGTCCCATTTCCCCAAGTTGCTTTTCCCCCTTCCTTGCGTCTCCTTGATATTAGAGACTTTGGTGGTATGCTGCTGCATTCTTTAGGGTGTAAACATTCACACCACCCTCCCCACTGACTCTCGGGTCCTCCCCCGCAGCTGTGCCCCTGGTCCCCAGTGCAGAGACCTTCTCCTTTCCCCTCTCCTGAAAATACATCTGTCCCCAGGCTTGTGCTGCAGTGGGAAAGGGCCCGTCCAGGAGTCGGGGAGGGATCCTGGAATTTAAAAGCATCTTTAACAGCTCCTCCTCAGAAACCCAGTCACACTTCCTTCCCCGCTAGTGAGAGGTGCCAGCCTGCTGGCAGCCCCCCTTCGCTCTTGGCACCTCCTCGGCCTCGACGCCCACTCTGGCCGTGCTTGAGGAGTCCTTCAGCCTACCGCTGCACTGTGGGATCCCTTCCAGGGATGGCCGAGGCCGGAGCCGGCTCCCTTGGCTTGCGGGGAGGTGTGGAGGGACAGGCACGGGCAGTAACCGGGGATGCGCGCGGCGCTTGCGGGCCAGAGCGAGTTCTGGGTGGGCTTGGGCTCGGCCGGCCCCGCCGGCCCAGGCAGTGAGGAACTTAGCACTTGGGCCAACAACGGCTGTCCTCGATTTCTTGCCAGGCCTTAGCTGCTTCCCCATGGGGCAGGGCTCGGGACCTGCAGCCCACCATGCCTGAGCCCCCCGTCCCAACCCCGCCCTGGGCTCCTGCACAGCCCGAGTCTCCTGAGCCTCCCGGACGAGCGCCGCCCCCTACTTCACAGCACAGAGTCCCATTGACCGCCCAAAGGACTAAACAGTGCGGGTCCACGGGCGGGACTGACAGCTCTACCTGCGGCCCCGCTGGGGAATACCACCGGGTGAAGCCAGCTGGGCTCAGTCAGTCTGGTGGGGACTTGAACAATCTTTATGTCTAGCTAAGGGGTTGTAAATACACCAATCAGCACTCTGTATCTAGCTCAAGGTTTGTAAACACACCAATCAACACCCTCTGTCTAGCTCAGGGTTTGTGGCTGCACCAATCGGCACTCTGTATCTAGCTAATCTGGTGGGGACTTGGAGAACCTTTTTATCTAGCTAAGGGATTGTGAATACACCAATCGGCACTCTGTATGTAGATGAAGGTTTGTAAATGCACCAATCAGCACCCTGCGTCTAGCTCAAGGTTTGTAAATGCACCAATCGGCGTTCTGTGTCTAGCTGATCTGGTGGGGACTTGCAGAACCTTTATGTCTATCTAAGGGATTGTGAATGCACCAATCGGCACTCTGTATCTAGCTCAAAGTTTGTAAATGCACCAATCAGCACTCTGTGTCTAGCTCAGGGTTTGTAAATACACCAATTAACACTCTGCATCTAGTTAATCTAGTGGGGACGTGGAGAACTTTTGTGTCTAGCTCAGGGATTGTAAACGCACCAATCAGCACCCTGTTAAAAACGGACCAATCAGCTCTCTGTAAAACAGACCAATCGGCTCTCTGTAAAATGGACCAATCAGCAGGATGTGGGTGGGGCCAGATAAGAGAATAAAAGCAGGCTGCCCGAGCTAGCCCCGGTAATTTGGTTAGTTTGTTTCATATGATGTGAGATATTTGTCTTTTTTTTTTTTGTTTTTTGGGTTCAGATTGTTGTTGGGAGTTTCAGCGGTTTTTTGCTAAAGTCTGTAGATTTTTCTGAATCTAATGTGGGTTGTGAGCCCTTGAAAAAGAACAGAGAACTTCAGATATGGTACTTTAAGTATGATAACATGAACTGTGAAGGTCTGCAGCTTTACTCCCGAACTAGTGAGACAGCGAACTCTGGGCAACGCTGTGTTTAACAGCTGGAACACTCACTGTACAGCTAAAACACTTTAAGTTTGCAACTTCGTTCTTGAAATTAGTAAGACCGAGAACCCGCTAGTTCTGGACACACTAGTTCCCAGGGTTACCAGGTGCTGCCTCTTTATGAAAGGCTGAGGCTTTTTGGCTGTTAGCTTTTCTCTATCTAGTATTCGGCTTTTCTCAGGTTAGTTATTTGCCCTACCGCTGACGTTTGTCTTGTACGTTTTTCCGCAGTTTTCTTTTAAGCGCTCTATTCTTGTGGGTGGTTTTGTTTTGGTAATTCAGGAAAGAAAATGAGGTGTGTGCATTCGTTACCTATCTTTCCCCTGAACTACAGTTGAGTGGTGTGTTACTTATCTTTCCTCTGAACTACATGGTAATTTGTGGTTCAGGCTACAGCACTCTGAAAACATGACTAGAAATCCTATTTCATTGGTGTATGCTCTTAAAATTCAAAAAAACTAAATGCCTAATTCTTTCGTGTCTATATTCTCAAAATCTTGTCAAGCCAAGGAAGGTAAAGGAGAAAGTAGTATTCAGTCATCGGTAGCTTTTTGTATTCAATCTTTCTCATTGATAAAGCTTTAAAGGTCGTACAGGTCCTCACTTCATGACAATGATAAAAGGAATCACAAGAGGGCAGGTTTACTTGGTGAGCAGAAGGATTGGAAGCATTTTCTCTCTTGACATTGTTTGGAATTGCCAGCCCATGATAATAAAAAGCAGAGTTTTGATCAATCGGTTGATTTTTGAGACAGGTTCTCACTCTGTCACCCAGAACTGAGTGCAGTGGTGAGATCTCGACTCACTGCAGCCTTAGCCTCACAGGCTCAACCGATCCTCCCAGCTCAGCCTCCCGAGTAGCTGGGACTATAGGCATGTGCTTCTTATCCCCGGATAGTTTTTTTTAATGTTTTGTAGAGACGGGGTCTCTCTATGTTACCGAGGCTGGTCTCCAACACCTGGGCTCAAGTAATCCTCCTGCCTTGGCCTTCCAAAGTGTTGGGATTACAGGCATGAGCCACTGGCACCTGGCTCGGTTTATTATTGTTTTTTTTAAATCTCCTTTGTCTGCATCTGTCTGGTGGTTTTAGTTGAGGATCTTGGGACAAACAGGCTCATAGCAATGATAGGGAGATTTTAGGCAGAAAATGGAAAGTTTCTGGGATTTCAGAAATTTTCAAACTTCAGAAACTGTAACGGTTGTTTGTAGCTCTTTATATTATTCCATCTTTATAAAATTCCATATGTGGAAATAATGTGTGTTCTCATATTTAACTCCATCCAGTCATGCATTTAGTGCATATTCATTGAGGACCAATTACGTGCCAGTGTTGCTGAACAGGGGAAGGACGCAACGCTATTGAGACTTCCCAGCCGGGCACAGTGGTGCATGCCTGTAAGCCCAGCACTTTGGGAGGCCAAGGTGGGTGGATCAGTTGAGGTCAGGAGTTGGAGACCAGCCTGACCAACATGGTGAAATCCCATCTCTACTAAATACAAAAAATTAGCCGGGTGTGGTGGACATGCCTGTAATCCCAGCTACCTGGGAGGCTGAGGCAGGAGAATCTCTTGAACCCGGGAGGCAGAGGTTGCAGTGAGCTGAGATTGTGCTATTGCACTCCAGTCTGGGCAACAAGAGCGAAACACTGTCCAAAAAAAAAAAAGCCGGGCGCAGTGGCTTATGCCTGTAATCCCAGCACTTTGGGAGGCCAAGGCGGGCAGATCATAAGGTCAGGAGATCGAGACCATCCTGGCTAACACGGTGAAAACCCATCTCTACTAAAAATACAAAAAAAAAAAAAAAATACTAGCTGGGCGTGATGGCAGGCGCCTGTAGTCCCAGCTCTTAGGGAGGCTGAGGCAGGAGAATGGCGTCAACCTGGGAGGCGGAGCTTGCAGTCAGCCGAGATTGTGCCACTGCACTCCAGCCTGGGCGACAGAGTGAGACTCCGTATCAAAAAAGAAAAGACTTCCCCTGGGGAGTGTCTGTAATCTAGCTAGAGAGATATCTTTTTATTTACTTTGTTTCTTTATTTTTGAGAGGGAGTCTCACTCTGTCACCCAGGCTGGAGTGCAATGGCACGATCTGGGCTTACTGCAACCTCCGCCTCCCGGGTGCAAGCAATTCTCCTGCCTCAGCCTCCCCAGTATCTGGGATCACAGGCACATGCCACCATGCCCTGCTAATTTTTGTATTTTTAGTAGAGAGACAGGTTTCTCCGTGTTGGCCAGGCAGGTCTCGAACTCCTTCCTGACCTCAAGTGATCCACCCCCTCGGCCTCCCAAAGTGCTGGGATTACAGGCATGAGACACCATGTCCGGCCGAGAGATATCTTCTTAAAAACTGCAATACAGGGACAGCGTGATGAGAGGTACAGCAGAAGTTTTCTTGACTATGAGCTACAAAAGAAGCCCAAAGGAGGATGGAATTGATCTTGCCTGGGGGCATCAGGGAAGCCTTCGGTTGGAGAGGACATCAGATAGCACAACAGTTCATGCAGAGAGTGGGGAGATGAAATCATTCAGTGTGTCTGAAGAGTAGGATATGTGGTGGGGAAGGGGCCTTTGAAGGGATCTGAAGATGATTCTTCAGGCAAGGAATTTTCAAAATCCACTCCACAGCAGGAATAACCTCCTAAGACTCCCTGGAGATCCTGACTCAGCCCTTCTTGGGCCCTCGGAATCTCTGTTTTTTTTTAAAGCTCCCAGATGTATCAATCAGACTTAGAAATCACTGCTCTGGGCAGTACGATTCCACTTTAGGAATTTAAGTAGGGGAGAACATAATCAGATTGGCATTTTAGCAATATCCCTTCAACCAAAATGTGGAAATTGGACTGAGAGAGAATGGAGGCAGGGAAGCCCCATGGGAAGCTTGTGAGAAAGTGGGGACAGGAGCCAAGGCCATGGGAGCTGGGGTGGAAAGGATAAGACCCGACAGCACACGGCGGTTGTGTAGCTGTAGAGAGGGGAGCAGAGTCGTCACATGGCGCCCAGGTTTCGACTGGGACAGTAACTGGGTAGGCAGTGGTCAAGATGGGAAATCAGTGGAGGGTCAGAACTGGAGACAGAATGAGATCCTTTGGGAAACAATGAGTCTGAGCTATCAGCGGGCAGATGTGGGAATGGATGTGAAAATTTGAGGTCCCCCTTACGGGGGTGCTACTGGACATCATAGGAATAAGTGAGTCACCCAGACAGAGGGTGAAGAGTCAGAAGGGAAGACAACGACGCTGTCAACCTTCAAGGTAGGTAGGACCGTGAGCATGGGGGTGGGTGGGAGAAGGTGGTAGGGTCAGAAAACTGGCAAGGAGGAGAGTCGGGAGGAAAAGGAAAACACGGTGTCCCCAAACTGGGGAGGAGGACAGCCTTAAAGAAGAAGGGTGTGGTCACCCAGGCCCACTGCCCTTCCTGAAAGCCACCTCCCACCCTGCACGGCACCTCCTGGGAGCAGGCAGCTGCAGCCCCGAGGGAAAGGCGAGGGGAGCAAAACTGAGGATCTCCCTCAATTATTTTTAATCTCTTTGCGGATTTCGTCAGTGCTCAGCAGCATTTTCTCCCAGAAACAAAAGCAGGAGGGTGCTGGGGGCCTGGGTGTGGCTCCGGGAGCCCTAATTGCTGAGTGAGACACTCCTCGGTCCTCTGGTGTCCTGGAGAACAAGTTGGGGGAGCCGCCCGCCCCACCCTGCAGGAAGAGGCCAACTCAGAGCTGTGCATTACTTTGTACATTTCTTTGATTTTTCTTCTTATTTTTTGAAGCATATGCAGTACTCAGAGATCATTTTAGACACTGCAAGAAGACAAAGATACCTAAAGAGGAAAAATGAGTTTTTCTCCCTCATTCTGGGCTCTCCACTGCTTATATTTTGAGTTTAAAGGAGACATTATACACACATTAAAGAGATTCATGGAGGCCCTTATTACTGGGTGAAATATATTCTGTAAGCCAGCCGTCCCTAGCCTTTTTGGCACCAGGAAGCGGTTTGGTGGAAGGCAGTTTTTCCATGGATGGGAGGGTGGGGATGGTTTCAGGATGAAACCACCACCTCAGATCATCAGGCATTAGTTAGACTCTCATAAGGAGCACGCAACCTAGATCCCTCACACGCGCAGTTCACAATAGGGCTTGTGCTGCTATGAGACTCATGCCACCGCTGTTCTGACAGGAGGTGGAGCTCCGGCGGTAATGCTTGTTCACCCCACGCTCACCTCCTGCTGTGCGGCCCAGTTCCTAACAGGCCACACAGATACTGGTCAACGGCCGGGGGCTGCGGACCCCTGCTGTAAGCCTTTTCTTCACCCAGCAAGATTTAGTGTTGTTCATCCGAAGAGCTCAATTCTTATTATGGACACAAATGAATTGATCTAACCAGCAGCCCTGGGAAGTGAGAAAGACTAATTACCCCAGGTTGTAGTTATTTCTTGGATGGATGGCTTTGGGTGGATAGCCGGGTGCTGTGAGTACATTCATTCACTATTCATTCAGCAGATATTTTTATTGACTGCCTACTCTGTACAAATTAGTGTGGATGAAACTATGCCCTGCCCACAGGAACATGTCCAGCTGGGGAGCAAGATGGAACATGCATGCAAAGGTTTAGAAACACTGCAAACAAGGCTACCTGCTGTCGTTCCTGGCCAAAGGAAACAGAACGGAAGAGCCTCTGTTCCCCAGAAGTGGTCACTTAGGGTTGCCCTGATCTGGGAAGGTTCTGTGCAGAGGTGGCCTCGTGAGGTGCGCTGTGGCACATAGACCTGTCACCAGTGGAGGGTGTCCAGGTTCTTGGCATCTTGAACAAAGAATTGGACAAAACGCACAAAGCAAGGAAGAAATGAAGGGGGTTTATTGAAAATGAAAGTACACTCAGGCCAGGCGCTGTGGCTCAAGCCTGTAATCCCAGCACTTTGGGAGGCTGAGGCGGGTGGATCACAAGATCAGAAGATCGAGACCATCCTGGCTAACACGGTGAAACCCTGTCTCTACTAAAAATACAAAAAAAAAAAAAAAAAAAAAATTAGCCGGGCGTGGTGGCAGGTGCCTGTAGTCCCAGCTACTCGGGAGGCTGAGGCAGGAGAATGGTGGGAACCCGGGAGGCAGAGCTTGCAGTGAGCTGAGATTGTGCCACTGCACTCCAGCCTGGGCGACACAGCAAGACTCCATCTCAAAAAAAAAAAAAAGAAAGTACACTCGACAGCGTGGGAGTGGGCCTGAGCATAGGGGCTCAAAGGCCCCGTTACAGAATTTTGGGGAGTTTAAATACCCTGTAGAGGACTTGGGGTATGCCCTATGTAAATGAAGAGGTTGAAGTAATGTTACAAAGTCATTTACTAGGGAGAGGATATTTTCTGTCATAGCGGAAGTGTGAATTGGCCTTATGTTCCCTGCCTCCAGACCCTATTTTCCTGCCTCAGACCTTGGTCACTCGCTGGCTGTCCGTGTCCTTTTCAGACCTTCAATATCTATTCCTAAATAACAGTTGTTAGAAAGTGCTTGAGAAGTGTAACTGAAGTTGCCTTTCTCTGTCCAACCCCCAACTCTGCTCTCCAGCCCCCAGCCCCATACCACTTCTCATGGGGGTCACAGCTGCCTGATTCCCGGTGGGCCGCCCTCATGAGCTGTCTCATTGTAAAGTCTGCCTCCTGGTACATAGTGAGGACTTTGTAAATGTTTGTTGAATGAGGCAATGAAGAGCCTTCTAGACAGAGAGTAGAGAGTGTGGGGCTAGCATGCGCTTGTAGTGTTCAGATGAAAGGGAGTCAGCCTGTTGGGTTGGAGTCAGGTGTGTGTGGGAGGACGGTGGAAAGATAGCCAGGGTCCTGTCTGTCCACACACGAGGCTGAGAATTGGGACTTTGTCCTGTTGGTACCAGAGAGTCACAGAATGTTCTGGAGCAGGGGATTGACAGGGCAATGTGGGGGGAAGGTCAGCTTGCGCCGCTGTGTAGGGTGGACTGGACTGGGTTAGATGAGAGGAGGAGAGGCCAATTAGGACTGTCCCAGTAGTGCAGGGGAGATGACACTGCCGCTCCCAAAGCAAAAGATGCAGGTTAAAAAAATGTGTCTATTTTCCATTAAAGAATATTTTAGCCACTGGCTGGGCACGGTGACACACGTCTGTAATCCTAGAACTTTGGGAGGCGGAGGCGGGTGGATCACTTGAGGCCAGGAGTTTGAGACCAGCCTGGCCAACGTGATGAAACCCCGTCTCTACTAAAAATACAAAAATTAGCCGGGCGTGGTGGTGGGTGCCTGTAATCCCAGCTAATTGGGAGGCTGAGGCAGGAGAATTGCTTGAACCCTCGAGGCGGAGGTTTCAGTGAGCCGATATTGTGCCATTGCACTCCAGCCTGGGTGACAAGAGCGATACTCTGTCTCAAAAAATATATATAAAATAAAAATAAAAACAAAAAATAAAAAAAATATTTTAGCCACTGATAGGGCAATGATATGTAAAATTTATTTTTTTGTTAGTTTTTTTTTCTTTTGAGACAGGATCTTGCTCTGTTGCCCAGGCTGAAGTGCAGTGGCACCATCACGGCTCACTGCAGCCTCAATTGTGTGATCCTTCCACCTTAGCCTCCTAAGTAGATGGGATCACAGGCACGCACCACCATGTCCAGCTAACTTTTTAATTATTTATAGAGACAAGGTCTCACTATATTGGCCAGGCTGGTCTCCAACTTCTGGTCTTAAGCAATCCTCCTGCCTTGGCCTCCCAAAGTGTTGGGATTACAAGTATGAGCCACCACGCCCGGCTACCATGTATAATTTTAAAATCCACATGAGTTTCACTTAGGCCATAGTAGAATGGCCTCATATTCTGAACAGGAATTGATCTGAAACTGACCTTTCACTCCTAAGGATGCCTTTCTTGTAAATTCGGCCTTCTCTCCCCCTGTGAGTGGAATTCTCTCTGGAAATCAGATGGCAATGAAAGACTGGGAGCCCTTATCTTTTGTGTTATTGATTTGGTTTTGTTTACTCTGACTCCCAGGAGAGACTCCCAGCAGGGATTCCTCGGGAGGGCTCACGTATGTGTGTGTTGTGTGTCTGCACATGTGTGTGACTTTTCCTAGATCTCCTCCAGATTTTTTTTTTTTTTTTTTTTTTTGAGACGGAGTCTCCCTCTGTTGGCTAGGCTGGAGTGTAGTGGTACGATCTTCGCTCACTGTAACCTCCGCCTCCCGGGTTCAAGTGATTCTCCTGCCTCAGTCTCCTGAGTAGCTGGGATTACAGGTGTGCAACACCACACCCGGCTAATTTTTGTATTTTTAGTAGAGGCGGGGTTTCACCATGTTGGTCAGGCTGGTCTTGAACTCTTGACCTTGTGATCCACCCACGTCGGCCTCTCAAAGTGCTGGGATTCCAGGCATGAGCCACTGCGCCCGGCAGCTCCTCCAGAATTTATCTGGAGCTAAACATTGTCCAGTTGCTGCTGACCCTAATCTCTGTTAAGAGAGTCTTGGTTCTCCACCCACAGTGCTCCACTTGACCAGCTTCAACTAGTCTTAAAAAAAAAAAAAAAAAAAGCGAGATTGAGTTTCTTGGCGCTCAGTAAGCCAGGGCTTGAAAACACCACAGCTTCCCACTTCCCCAAGACTGCGGACAGGATGGGTTTCAACAAACCTCTTGGCCTACAGGCAAAGAGCTCATGGCAAAAACGACTGTTTAAATAAAGCTTGGGTGGGCCAGCTTTTTAATTTTTTCCAGGATGACTTCATTTGGCAATGATGATTGTGCATGTTGGCAAACAGATGGGAGAATGAAAAAATGCACGGTAAAGGTGTTCTGTAGGAGGGAGAGGAGAGAAGGTCTGGGAGAGAGAAAGGGCATCTGAGGACAGCAGCAGCAGCAGCAGCAGGAGAAAGGAAAAGATGAGAAGACCTGAGGAGGGTGGGTGAGAGGTGTATGGAACAGGAAAGAAAAGATTTGCCTTAAGTGAAACTTTGACTCTTTGCTTGCTTTCTTTTTTTTTTTTTTTTTTTTTTTTTTTTTTTTTTTTTTTTTTGAGATGGAGTTGTGCTTTGTCACCAAGGCTGGAGTGCAGTGGCGCGATCTCGGCTCACTGCAACCTCCACCTCGTGGGTTCATGCAATTCTCCTGCCTCAGCCTCCCGAGTAGCCGGGATTACAGGCATGCGCCACCACGCCCGGCTAATTTTTGTATTTTTAGTAGAGACAGTGTTTCACCATGTTGGCCAGGCTGGTCTTGAGCTGACCTCAGGTAACCCACCCACCTCAGCCTCCCAAAGTGCTGGTATTACAGGTGTTAGCCACCGCGCCCAGCCAACTTGGACTCTTCATAGCTAGACCAGCATGTATTTTAAATGTGTTTTAAAATGTATATAGAAGAGATCCATCATGTGGCAGTAATGCCACCCAATTCTTGTTTTGAGTATTAGGATAGCTTGGAATGGATGTGGATCAAAATTTTGCATTTCTGAAACATTATTCTCCCTTTTTTGTTTTTGAGACTGAGTCTTGCTCTGTCACCAGGCTGGAGTGCAATGGCACAATCTCAGTCACTGCAACCTCCGCCTCCTGGGTTCAAGTGATTCTCCTGCCTTAGCCTCCCGAGCAGCTGGGGTTACAGGTGCATGCCTGTAACAGGTGTTACACCTGGCTAATATTTGTATTTTTAGCACAGACAGGGTTTCACCATGTTGGTCAGGCTGGTCTCGAACTCCTGACCTTAAATGGTCTGCCTCAGCCTCCCAAAGTGCTGTGAATACAGGCATGAGCCACCGTGCCTGGCTGAAACATTATTCTCGATAGCTGAAAAGCAGAAACAACTCAGATGTCCATCGGCTAATAAGTGGATGTGGGTATGCAAACAACAGATTATTATTCAGCCTTAAAAATGAGTAAGTTCTTTTGCAACATGCAACAACATAGCTGAATCTTGAAAACATGATGCTGAGTGAAAGAAGCCAGCCACAAAAGATGACATATTGTATGATTCTCTTTTTAAGAAATGTCCAGAATGGGCAAATCCATAGATACAGAGGACAAATTGGTGGTTGCCAGGGACTAGAGGGAAGAGGGAATGGGAAGTGACTGCTAAAGGGTTTAGGGTTTCCCTTTGGGGTGATGGAAACGTTCTGGAATTACACAGTGATGGTTGTACACCTGTGTCTGTACCCAAAAATCACTGAACTGTACACTTTAAAAGGGTAAATTTTATGTGACTACTATCTCAACTTTTAAAAAATGTTGTGTTTGTGTGACTATACTTTTCAACTTTGGCCCTACTCATTTTGTTTGTATTTATTTATTTTTTCTTCCTAGAAATAGTATTACGGTCACATGATTCAAAATTCAATATATAAAAGGATGTAAAGTGAAAATTCTTTCTCCCATCCTCGTCATTCCCAAGCTACTCAAAAAGTAAGCAATATTACCAGTTTCTTGTGTGACTTTCACAGATTTTGTGCACACAAGCAAATAAGTACAAACAAATATTCTTCCCTTGCTCTTTTTAAATAAATAGTGACATTCACATGGTTCTGTACCTTGCTTATTTCACTAGCCAACACATTTGGTTGAAACCTTGTTCATATCAGTGCATGTAGATCTCTGCCATTTGTCCAAACATATGCCTTTGGATTACATGTGTCATTTGTTTAATTGGCCCACTCTTCTTCTTCTTCTTCTTCTTTTTTTTTTTTTTTTTTTTTGAGACAGGATATCTCTCTGTCGGCTAGGCTGGAGTGTAGTGGTGTGATCATCATGGCTCACTGTGGCCTCAAACTCCTACTATGGACAGGAGACAGGGAAATACTGGGTAGAAGAGGACAGTTCCCCAGCAAAGGCCCCACCCTCAAGCCTGGATACCCATGGCCCTAAATGGGAACAGGCATTTCTGTTTTTGCACCCCAAAAGTTGACTTTTGGCCCACATGCTCCCTATCCTGTACCCATATAAACCCCAAATTCCAGGCTCCAGAGAGAGACAAGGAGATGAGGAGACAAGCAGACGAACAGCGGAACAATGCAGCAGAGAAAGAGAGAAGAGAAGGAACGTCTGAACGTCGAGAGGAGTTCGGCTGCTGGACGGCCAAACTCCAGGGGAAGATCATCTTCCCACTCCATTCCCCCTCCAGCTCCCCATCCATCCCACTGAGAGCCACTTCCACCACTCAATAAAAGCCCCACATTTATCCTTCAAGTCCATGTGTGATCCAATTCTTCTGGGATGCTAAACAAGAACCTGGGATACAGAAAGCTGTCACACTGGCCCTCTGCCCTTGCAGAAAGGCAGAGGGGCCCTGAGCTGGTTGATACTTAAGCTGTCTGTGGATGGCAGAACTAAAAGAGCATTGGGACACTGGGGTTGCAGGCACCCCCCCACCCCCAGACACTACTGCAGGGCTGGAGCCCAAAGTGCTCGCTGTGGCTCACGCCCCTGCCCATCTGCATGCTTCCCCTCCTGCAAGAAGTTTGAGCTTGCAGTGGGCGGTCAAACAGAGAGCCGCACCCCTGTCACATGCCCTGTGAGGGGGGCCAGGGAACTCTCCCGTTTACCTCCCAGGCTCAGGTGATCCTCCTACCTCAGACTCTCAAGTGGCTGGGACCACTGGCACATGCCACAATGCCTGGCTAATTTTTTAAAAATTATTTGTAGAGACTGGGGTCTCCCTGTTGCCCAGGCTGGTCTCTAACTTCCGAGTTCAAGTGATCCTCCTGCCTCGGTCTCCCAAAGTGCTGGGATTACAGGTGTGAGCCACCAAGCCCAGCTTAACTGGCCCACTCTTGATGGAAATTTGGTTCTTTCCAATCCTTTCAGACTTCAGTGAATAATTTCCTTCATACATGATTTCACCCATACAGGAGGTTATCTGTAGGCTTAAATTCTTAGAAGTGGGATTGTGATTAAGGGGTATGTGCACTTGTAGTTTTGGTGGATATTTTCTAGTCTCCTTTCACAGATATAGGCGTGGGTTTACACTCCCACCAGCAATGGATGAATGCTCCTGTCCCCAGATACTGTCAATATGTTGTTAACATTTTCACCCTGCCAAACTAAATGATGAATAAATGTGTCTCAGTTGGGGGGTTTTAACTTTGTCTTTTCTTTTCTTTTTTTTTGAGACAGAGTCTCACTCTGTCACTCAGGCTGGAGTACAGTGGTGCGATCTTGGCTCACTGCAACCTCCACCTCCTGGGTTCTAGCGATTCTCTGCCTCAGCCTCCCAAGTAGCTGGGACTACAGGTGCACACCACCACACCCAGCCAATTTTTGTATTTTTTGTAGAGACGGGGTTTCGCCATGTTGGCCAGGCTGGTCTAGAACTCCTGGGCTCAAGTCATCTGCCCACCTCGGCCTCCCAAAGTGCTGGGATTGCAGGCGTGAGCCACCTCACCTGGCCATTAACTTGGCATTTTATTGTTATGAGAGAAGTTGACAGATTTTCTGATGTGAAGAGCCTTTTCTATGAGCTACTTTGCCCATTATTTTATTGAGTTTGTTCAGTTTATTATTAATTTTCAGGAGCCCTTATATGTCTTTGTCTGTGATAGGGATTTGGAAGATAAGTTTTCCAAGGATCTTTAAAAAAAAATTTTTTTTCAGAGGTTGGATTGATTTTTTTCTTCTGTGGTTTCTAGGAATCTTACTTACAAATAATTTTGGTTGCACGCAGTAGCTCACACCTGTAAATGCAGCACTGTGGGAGGCTGCTGTGGGTGGATCACTTGAGCCCGGGAGTTCAAAACAAGCTTGGGCAACATAGTGAAACCCCATCTCTACAAAAAATCAGCTGGGTGTGGTGGCACACACCTGTAATCCCAGCTACTCAAGAGGCTAAGGCATGAGAATTGCTTGAACCCAGGAGGTGGAGGCTGCAGTGAGCCATGAGCTGAGATTGCACCACTGCACTCCAGCCTGGGCAACAGAACAAGACTCTGTCTCAAAAAAAAAAAAAATTCCTTGCCTTTTAATTTTCAAATATTAACCAGTATTTAATAATTGTGTGTTTGTGATCCCCAGACGCTTGTTCTCTCTGTGTGTTCTTTGGAGCATTTCATTAAGTCTTTAATAGCTTTATCCTACAAGACCTTCTGATATGTTCCCAATTTTTTCTATAAAGAAGACTACCATCCACTAATTTTTTTCTGATTCCCTCCTGCTCTTGAAATCAAGCATCTAAGTATCTCACCAGACTTGGCCTAAGGCATAATTCCAGGGTTGGTGGTTTGGATACCAGCCTCACTGATGGCTCTGTTTGTCCCCCCACCTTCAGCACTGTCAGCGTTAGCACCTCCTCCTCCCGTTTTCCCTCCCTCTTCTCTCTCAGCATGAGAAAGAAACTGGTCCCTGTGGGGTCTGCATATTGTTTGATACTCTTTTCTTTAATAGGTGGAGCTTAATTCCCCTTGTGTTTGGCTTGGACTTGGTGACTGACTGCCAATGAGTAGAGTATGCAGAAGTGAGGATGTGTGGCTTCCCAGACCAGGTCACAAAGGCATTGGAGCTTCCTCGCTCTCTCAAACCACTTGTTCTGGGGTAAGTCAGCTGCCACGTTGTGAGGACACTCAAGCAGCCTTATGAGGAGATTCACATGTGAGGAACTGAGGCCTCCTGCCTGTAGCCATACCACTGAGCCATCTCGGAAGTAGGTCCTCCAGCCCTAGCCAGGCTTTCAGATGACAGCAGCCCTGGTTGATTCTTGACTGCAACCTCATGAATGACCCTGAGCCAGAACTGCTTAGACAAGCCATTCCCAACTTCCTGATCCACAGGAATCGTGTGAGCTAAAAAGTGTTTATTGTTGTTTCAAGCTGTTTGGTTTTGGGGTAATTGTTATACAGCAATAGAACAACACAGTATCTGTAGAAATTACAGCTGGGATGAATCTCAATCACTCAAAGCCCTTGTGCCTCTGGCATCGCCCACGGTTGGGTGCAAATGTGCCTGGAGTATAGCAGTACCCCAAATCTCTTCTTTCGGGCTGGGCGTGGTGGCTCATGCCTGTAATCCCAGCACCTTGGGAGGCCAAGGCAGGCGGATCACCTGAGGTCAGAAGTTGGAGGCTAGCCTGGCCAACATGGCAAAACCCCGTCTCTACTAAAAATACAAAAATTAGCTGGGCGTGGTGGCGGGTGCCTGTAATCCCAGCTGCGCAGCAGGCTGAGGCAGGAGAATCGCTTGAACCGGGAAGTGGAGGTTGCAGTGAGCCAGGATCGCGCCATTGCACTCCAGCCTGGGCGACAAGAGCAAAATTCTGTCTCAAAAAACATTTTTTTAAAAAATTATTTTCTTTTTTTTTTTTTTGGTGGCAGGGTCTCGCTCTGTCACCCAGGCTGGATGACAGGCTCACTGTAGCCTCCCTTGACCTCCCAGGCTCAAGTAATCCCCCCACCTCAGCCTCCCGAGTAGCTGGCACTACAGGCGTGCACAACCACACCTGGCTAATTTTTGTGTTTTTTGTAGAGACAAGGTTTTGCTATGTTCCCCAGGCTGGTCTCCAATTCCTGACCTCAAGGAGTCCGTCCTCCTTGACTTCCCAAAGTGCTGGGATTATAAGTATGAGCCACTGCATCCAACCACTCTTAATTTTGAGAGGTGACAGTGTGCTGGCAGTCCTCACAGCCCTCGCTCGCTCTCGGGGCCTCGGCCTTGGCGCCCATTCTGGCCGTGCTTGAGGAGCCCTTCGGCCCACCGCTGCACTGTGGGAGCCCCTTTCTGGGCTGGCCAAGGCCAGAGCCAGCTCCCTCAACTTGCGGGGAAGTGTGGAGGGAGAGGCGCGGGCGGGAACCGGGGCTGCGCGGCGCTTGCGGGCCAGCGCGAGTTCTGGGTGGGCGTGAGCTCGGCGGGCCCCTCACTCAGAGCGGCCGGCTGGCCCCGCCGGCCCGGGGCAGTGAGGGGCTTAGCACCTGGGCCAGCAGCTGCTGTGCTCAATTTCTCGCTGGGCCTTAGCTGCCTCCCCGCGGGGCAGGGCTCGGAACCTGCAGCCCGCCATGCCTGAGCCTCCCCCCACCCCGCCGTGGACTCCTGCGCCGCTGGAGCCTGCCCTATGAGCGTCGCTCCCTGTTCCACAGTGCCCAGTCCCATTGACCGCCCAAAGGCTGAGAAGTGCGGGCACACGGCGCGGGACTGGCAGGCAACTCCCCCTGCGGCCCGGGTGCGGGATGCGCCAGGTGAAGGCAGCTGGGCTCCTGAGTCTGGTGGGGACTTGGAGAATCTTTACGTCTAGCTAGGGAATTGTAAATACACCAATCAGCACCCTGTCTAGCTCAGGGTTTGTGGATGCACCAATCGGCACTCTGTACCTAGCTAATCTGGTGGGGGCCTGAAGAATCTTTATGTCTAGCTAAGGGATTGTGAATACACCAATCGGCACTCTGTATCTAGCTCAAGGTTTGTAAATGCACCAATCAGCACTCTGTGTCTAGCTGATCTGGTGGTGACTTGGAGAACCTTTATGTCTAGCTAAGGGATTGTGAATGCACCAATTGGCACTCTGTATCTAGTTCAAGGTTTGGCAATGCACCAATCAGCGCTCTGTGTCTAGCTGATCTGGTGGGGACTTGGAGAATCTTTGTGTCTAGCTAAGGGATTGTGAATGCACCAATCGGCACTGTATCCAGCTCAAGGTTTGGAAATACACCAATTGACATTCTGTACTAGCTAATCTAGTGGGGACATGGAGAACTTTTGTGTCTAGCTCAGGGATTGTAAACGCACCAATCAGCACCCTGTCAAAATGGACCAATCGGCTCTCTGTAAAATGGACCAATCAGCAGGATGTGGGTGGGGCCAGATAAGAGAAGAAAAGCAGGCGCCCAAACCAGTAGTTGCGACCCTTTTGAGTTACTTTGCCGATAATGGAAGGGGTGTGTTTTGTGATGTCTTGCTGCAGGTTGGTGTATATGTTTCTATTACCTTTGTGAGCTATAACGCTCACTGTGAAAGTCTGTAGCTTCACTTTTGAAGCCAGCGAGACTACGAAACCACCAGGAAGAACGAACGACTCTGGCTACACTATATTAACAGCTGTAACACGGATAAGGTCTTTAGCTTTGTTCCTGCGTGTTTTGCCAGAAGGAGGAAGCTGAGCACATCCATCCATCAGAAGGAATAAATTCCAGATATACCACTTTTAAGAACTGTAAGAGTCACCGTGAGGGTCTGTGGTCTTGTTCTTCAAGGCAGTGAGACCAAGAACCTGCTAATTCCAGACCCAATTTTAAAGGTCTGATAAGCCTACTTGAGTAGTAGTGATAAAAATGGGAGCCAAGTGCTGGTTAGAAGAGGGAGGTTCCATGCTTAGTAAGGCCCCAGCCTCAATCCTGGGTGGCTGTTTCTAAATGAGGACAGGCATTCCTGTTATGTCTAAAAGGTGTTTTTTGGCTTGCCACACCCCCTATCCTGTACCTATATAAATCCTAAATGCCAGGCTCCTGAAGCAGGTAAGGAGATAAGCAAATGGCAGCATGGCACGGCAGAGCAAAGAGAAAGTGCATGTAAATGCTGAGAGGAGTTAGGCTGGGGATGGTCAGAGAAGAGATTGGCTGTTGGGCGGCAAAATTCCACAGGAAGATCATCTTTCCGTCCTGTCCTTCCACCTCTCAATCCATCCAGCTGAGCCACCTCCACCACTCAATGAGACGGTTGCATTCATTCTTCAAGTCCATGTGTGACCTGATTCTTATGGTACACTGGACAAGAGCTTGGGATACGGAAAGCTGTCACACTGGCTCTCTGCCTTTGCAAAAAAGCAGAGGATCCACTGAACTGGTTAACACCTATGCCATCCATCTACAGATGGCAATGCTGAAAGGGCACTGTAGGGCTCTGCATGGTGGCTCATGCCTGTAATCCCAGCACCTTGGGAGGCCAAGGCAGGTGGATAACCTGAGGTCAGGAGTTTGAAACCAGCCTGACCAACATGGTGAAGCCACATCTCTACTAAAAATACAAAATTGGCTGGGTGTGGTGGCAGGCGTCTGTAATCCCAGCTACTTGGGAGGCTGAGGCAGGAGAATTGCTTGAATCTGGGAGGCAGAGGTTGCAGTGAGCTGAGATGACGCCATTGCACTCCAACCTCGGCAACGAAAGTGAAACCCTGTCTCAAAAAAAAAATCAGTCTTTCTAAGAAAGGGAGGTCAGGGGTCTATCATCAGGTGCCTGGAACAGTCAGATCAGTTGTCAACCTTGAGTTTTTCCAGACGAACTCAAGGGGGGCTGGATTTTCCCAGAGCTCAGGCTGTAGGCTGCTAGAAGCCATGTCAGAGTTTGGTCAAAGCTCTCAAGAGACAGATTTAGATGAAGTTTTTCAGGCCGAGAGTTTTTGCGGTTCTCAGAAGACAGTGGCATTGAGTACATTCACACTGCCGTACAACCATCAAAACCCTCCATTGCCAGAACTTTTTCATCTTCCAAAAATGTGTACCCATTAAACAATAGCTCCCCATTCCTCCTCCCCTTAGCCCCTGACAACACCAATTCTTTCTGTCTCTATGAATCTACTCTAGGAACCTCATATAAGTAGAATCATACAGTACTTGTCCTTTTGTGATTGATTTATTTCACTGAGCATAATGTTCTCCAAGATTCATCCATGTTGTAGACTATAAGAATTTCCTGCTGGGGGCAGTGGCTCACGCCTGTAATCCCAGCACTTTGGGAGGCCGAGGTGGGCAGATTATGAAGTCAGGAGATCGAGACCATCTTGGCCAACATGGTGAAACCCCTTTTCTACTAAAAATACAAAAATTAGCTGGGCATGGTGGTGTGTGCCTGTAATCCCAGCTATGCAGGAGGTGAGGCAGGAGAATCGCTTGAACCAGGGAGTCGGAGGTTGCAGTGAGCCAAGATTGTGCCACTGTACTCCAGCCTGGGTGACAGAGCGAGACTCCGTCTCAAAAAAAAAAAAAAAATTTCCTTCCTTTTATAGTCTGAAACATCTCAGTATTACATTTTGAATACGGTACTGTCTATGTGTAACACTTGGCTTGTTTTCATCTTTTGGCTACTGTGAGGAATGCTGCTGTGAACATCAGTGGACAAATATCTCTTCAAGACTCTGCTTTTAATTTTTTTTTTTTTTTTTTTTTTGAGACAGGGTCTTGCTCTGTCGCCCAGGCTGGAGTGCAGTCGTGTGATCATGGGCTCAAGTGATCCTCCCACCTCAGCCTCCTGAGTAGCTAGGACCACAGGGGCACACTGCCATGCTCAGCTAATTTTTCTTATTTTGTAGGGATGGGGTCTCACTATGTTGCCGAGGCCGGTTTCCAACTCTTGGCTTCAAGCGATCCTCCTGCCTTGGCCTCCCAGAGTGCTAGGGTTAAGGCATGAGCCACTGCCTTGGGCCTGCTTTCAATTCTTTTGCTTATTTACATTTGCATCGTTAAGGCTGATCATCTATTAGCTCCTAAAATCTTGTCGAATTAGTTTCTTGGAAACAGCAATGGTCACGGCCGCTTGGCTGAGGCCCACCTTGGAGATGAGATCTTGGGAGGGCCAGGTGAAGATGAGGGGCCTTCAAACAAGGAGGCAGTGCCATGGGGATCGCAAAGCTGGCTGCACTGCTGGTGAACTGGGGCTCCTTGGCATAGGCTTGGGAGCTGTGGTTCGGCCCAGGCAGCAGCACGTTGACTCTCCTGCTGGCTTTGAAAGCCTTTGCAGTTGCTGTCAGCCTCTGCCTAGCATGCTCCTCCTCCAGCTCCTTCCCCACCTTTAGCTCTCAGATCTCATATCTTCTCCTCAAAGAGGCATTCCCCAAACACCTTAGACTCAGCATTTCCGTGGCCAAGTGATTCTCTAGCCTATCACCTGTTTAGAACCATTACAGCCTTAGCCTATATTGCAACAATTTCTTTTGTTTACTTATTTATTCTCTGATCTTCAATGTTAAAAGGTAAACTGAAGCACACTAAAATATTAAAAAGTTTATTTGGGCCAGGTGTGGTGGCTCACGCCTATAATCCCAGCACTTTGGGAGGCCGAGGCAAGTGGATCATGAGGTCAAGAGATCAAGACCATCCTGGCCAACATGGTGAAACCCCGTCTCTACTAAAAATACAAAAATTAGCTGGGCGCGGTGGCGGGTGCCCATAATCCCAGCTACTCGGGAGGCTGAGGCAGGAGAATTGCTTGAACCCAGGAGGCAAAGGCTGTAGTGAGCCAAGATTGTGCCACTGCACTTCTGCCTGGCGACAGAGCGAGACTCCGTCTCAAAAAAAGAAAAAAAAAAAAGTTTATTTGGCAAACGGTAATTCATGAATCTGGCAGTTCAAAGACCACAGGTAATTTGGGGCTTCCCTCAAAGAGGTACTAGGGGAAGGCTTTTACAGGGTGAACACGGAAGCAAAACAAATAAATTCATTTCTGTGTAAAATCTTGTTAGAGGTTAGTTGGCAGTTTGTGATGCCTAGAATATGACCATTTACAGGGAGTTGGGTTTCAGTTTGCTAGGTAGGAACCCAAGGTGCTGGAGTCTTCTCAGCCTAATGACCTCCCAGTGAATTATTTTGGCATCAACCATGCTGTAAGCACCGTGAGGGTGTGGGTCTTACCTGCCTGCATCCAAGCAGTGCTTGGCACATAGTACATTGTATACAAATTGTGGAATGACTATGATGATTTTGTGCGCATGAAGAATGTCGGCACCTCTAGTTATAGTCTAAACAGCACTGGGGAGGAGGCTGTGACCCCAGGACCCTGGTCACCTAAACCTCCCTGACCCAGGAAGTAGGCTTAGGAAAGATCTCTGGCACAAGCAGTTGGAGAAGGTCCTGGCAGGTGAGTAGAATGCAGACAATCATGATCTGAAGAGGGCTTGTGGAGGTCCAGGCACAGGAAACAACCACACTCAATCCTGGGATTGAGTTCAGGTACAAGACTCCATTCATTAGAAGAACCCCTGAGAACAGACAGGCTCAGCTAAGAGCAACGGGCCTGACATCGGAGTTACTTGACTAGGGCTGGACCCAAGGAATGCTGTCAGGAGAGGCTGATTAGTGGACCCAGGAATGGAGGCTTGAGTGTGACTAGCCACTCTGTGGCTAATGAGCTCTGTGTTTGCCAATGGGCTCATGGCTGTGAGGGCAATGCTGTGATTCAGCCAGCATTGGTCTAGATCCTGAGGTGGGGGTAAATAGTCTCAGCATTATGACTATGGGGCAATGGGAACCAGAAACCAGGCAGGCCATCCGAGCAAGCGTGGTACATTTAAAAATGATGTTTTACGGGACGTAAAAAGCACAGACCATCAAGGAAGGGTAGAAAAAGTAAATGTGTTAATATTATTTTATTTTATTTATTTATTTTTGTTAAAAGACAGCATAAACAAGGCTGAGGAGGATCACTTGAGCCCAGGAAGCAGAGGTTGCAGTAAGCTGTGATCACACCACTGCACCCCAGCCTGGGCGACAGAGTGAGACCCTATTTCAGAAGAAAGAAAGAAAAAAAAAAGCAGAAACTCAAACAGATACTGTATGCCAATTTTTATAGCAGCATTATTCCCAATAGTCAAAGGGTGGAAGCTGCCCACATGTCTGTCTATTAATAGATAAATGGATAAACAAAATGTTCTATACGTGTACAATAGATTTAATATTCAGCTTTGGGGCTGGGCACGGTGGCCCACACCTGTAATCCCAGCACTTTGGGAGGACGAGCCGGAGGAACGCTTGAGCCCAGGAGTTTGAGACCAGCCTGGGCAATATAGGGAGGCCCCTCTCTACAAAAAAATAAATTAATTAGGCCGGGTGCAGTGGCTCACGCCTGTAATCTCAGCACTTTGGGAGGCCAAGGCAGGTGGATCACTTGAGGTCAGAAGTTTGAGACCAGCCTGGCTAACACAGTGAAATCCCGTCTCTACTAAAAATACAAAAACTAGCCAGGAGTGGTGGCAGGTACCTGTAATCCCAGCTACTCGGGAGGCTGAGACAAGAGAATCATTTGAACCTGGGAGGCAGAGGTTGTAGTGAGCTGAGATCATGCCACTGCACTCCAGCCCAGGTGATAGAGTGGGATTCCATCTCAAAAAAAAAATTATCCAGGTGTGTTGGTGCACACCTGTATTCCCAGCTACTTGGGAGACGGAGGCAGGAAGACTGCTTGGACCGGGGCAGATCAAGGCTGCAGTAAGCTATGATCACACCACTGCACTCCAGCTTGGGCAACAGAGAGACTCTGTTTCTAAAAAAATAAAATAAAAATAAAATTATTCAGCCTTAAAAAGAAATGAGCTGGGGGGAAGGGAGAATGGGGAGTTATTATTTAATGTTAACAGTTTCAGTTTTGCAACATGAAAAGGAGTTCTGTGGATAGCTAGTGGTGATGGTAGCATCACAATGCGAATGTACTTAATGCCCCTGAAATGTACATTTCAAAATGATTAAGACATAAATTTTATGTGATGTATATTTTGCCACAACTTTTTTAAAAAGCAAGGAAATTCTGACACAGGCTACGACATGGATGAACCTTGAGGAAATTATGCTTAGTGAAAAAGGCCAGACACAAAAGGACAAATATTGTCATTCCACTTAGATCAGGTCCTTACAGTAGTCAAACTCATAGAGACAGAAAGTAGAATGATGGTTGCCAGGGGACTGGGGAGGAGAGAAAGGGGAGTTAGTGTTTAATGGGGACAGTTTCCGCTTGTGAAGAAGAAAAAATTCGGGAGATGGGTGGTAGTGTTGGTTGCACAAAATTGTGAATGTACATAATGCCGCTGAACTGTGCAGTTAAAAATAGTTAAGGCCGGGTGCGGTGGCTCACGCCTGTAACCCCAGCACTTTGGGAGGCTGAGGCGGGTGGAAAATCAGGAGTTCAAGACCAGCTTGGCCAACATGGTGAAACTCCACCTCTACTAAAAAAACAAAAATTAGCCAGGTGTGCTGGTGTGGGCCTGTAGTCCCAGCTACTCAGGAGGTTGAGGCACGAGAATCGCTTGAACGTAGGAGGCAGAGGTTGCAGTGAGCCAAGATGGTGCCACTGCAGTCCAGCCTGGGTGACAGAGTGAGTTTCAAAAAAAAAGTTTAGATGGTAAATTTTATGTATATATATTTTACCACAATATTTTAAAAAAGACAACACAAACAATGGGAAAAGACAAGCTATGGACTAGGAGAAGACATCTGTTTGGTTTTTATATCTATATTCATTGATTTATCCTGTCTGGAAACAAAGTTTCTGGATCAGAAAACAGACCAATTATTTGCTCGAATAGCAGTCTGATTGCCAACTCCCCATCCCTCAGTTTCCCACAGGGCAGCACAGTGTGACCCAGATGTACCCTGCAGATACAGGCCTCTGTGCCACAGGCAAGAGCTTGGAAATGATGCATCTCAGAGCACAGCCAGATGCTGCTGGCATGTCTGGGCCTCTCACTCACTCTGGAGGCGGAGGGAAAGACCTTTGATCTCCAAGGCAAACACAAATCCATTCCGGAGAAAGGAGAGGAAGGTCTCTGGGGTTTTACAATCCTTTGGAATGCAAGCAAATGGTTCTGGGGAAAAGGAGGCATTCGTTATCTTTTTAGCATGTCACTCTCTGTTTCTCAGAAAGGTCCAGAAGTTTCAGGAACACTGAGAACTCCAGGGAGGATGGCGTTCCAACAAGAACTACAACATATATAACCAAAAAGGATTAATATATGATTAATTAGCTAATTCCTACAAATAAGGATAAGGTAAGCAATCCTATCAAAAATTGGATAAAAGAATGTAAATTGGCAGTTTATAGAAGAGGAGGCTGGGTGCGGTGGCTCATGCCTGGAATCCCAGCACTTTGGGAGGCTGAGGCAGGTGGATCACCTGAGGTAAGGAGTTCGAGACCAGCTTGGCCAACATGGCGAAATCCTGCTTCTACTAAAAATACAAAAAGTAGCCCAGTGTGGTGGTGTGGGCCTGTAGTCCCAGCTACTCGGGAGGCTGAGGTGGGAGGATCACTTTAGCCTGGGAGGCAAAGGTTGCAGTGAACTGAGATTGTGCCTCCAGCCTGGGTGACAGAGTAAGACCCTGTCTCCACAAAAAAAAAAAAAATTCCAAATGGCCAATAAACATTTGAAAACATTGCTGGACTTAGCTAGCAATTAGGGAAATGGAAATTTAAATTAAAATAGGTACCAATAAAATGCTGAAATATTTCCCAATATTTACAAAAAGGTGTGTGATGTGTTACATTTCAGGTTATAGGAATTTGTGAAGAAAATGAAAATATAATTCTACTTATATAAAAAGTCCAGAATAGGCAAATCTATAGCCATAGGAAGTGGATCAGTGGTTGCCTAAGGCAGGGGAGACTTCAGGAGAGGAGAGAGGAATTGCAGGTGGCAGCTAAGAGGAATGAAATTTCTTTTGGGGATAATGAAAATATTCTACAATTAATTGTGGTGATGGACGCATAATTCTGTGAATATACTAAAAGTCACTGAATTATACACCTTCAATGGGTAAATTGTATGGTATATAAATTATATGTCAATAAAGCTGTTTTTAAAAAGTGGAGGATGGAAACCATATATACAGCATGCTGACATAGTTAATAATAATGTATTATATACTTGAAATTTGTGAGAATAGATCTTAAGTGTTCTCACCACACACACAAGGATAACCATTTGAGTTGATGGATATATTAATTAGCTTGATAGTGGTAATCATTTCACCATATATATCATATTGTATACCTTAAATATAGACAATTTTTATTTGTCAAGTATGCCTTGACAAAGTATAAAGCTGAAAAAATTAAAAATAAATACGCTGGGCACAGTGGGTCACGCTTACAATCCCAACACACTGGGGAGGCTGAGGAAAGCAGATCGCTTGAGCTCAGGAGTTCTAGACCAGTCTGGGCAACATGGCGAAACCCTGTCTCTCTAAAAAACACAAAAATTAGCTGGACGTGGTGGTGCGCATCTGTAGTCCCAGCTACTTTGAGACGATTGCTTGGGACTGGGAGGCTGAGGCTGCAGTGAGCCATGTTCATTCCACTGCACTCCAGTCTGGGCAACAGAGTGAGACCCTGCCTCAAAAAAAAAAAAAAAGATAAAATACATAAATTAATAAAAGGGGTAGGGATGGAATTTGCTTTCCACTAGACTACCAGAAAATAAAAAGTCTGACTATTCTAAGTGTTGGTAAAGATGTGGAGAGATAGGAGATAGCTACTCTCCCTACTGCTGGTGGAAGTGTGAGTTGGTAGATGTTGGAAGAGCAAATTAATTGGACCTTAAAAGGTCCAGAATTTTCAGGAACACTGAGAACTCCAGGGAGGATGGCATCTAGTTAAGTTAAAGATATACCTACTTTGTGTCCCAACAATTCCACTCCTAGGTAAGAAGCCTGGGGACATGGGCACAGGGAGACATTTACAAGTATGTTTGTGAACACCTTATTTGAAAGAGTGAAAAATTTAAGCAATAACTAACTTATCCATTAGAGCATGGCTATTAATTATGTGGAGTGCAATCAGAGATAATACTGTCTCCGTAGTTTGTATAGGCTTTTAAACAAGTATGACTTTCTTACCTCTATACAGTGCTGTGATGTGCTAACATTAGCATGGTTTGCAAATTAGACTCCAAAGAATAAGAAATTTAAATGCCCTTGAATGGGAGAATGAACAAGTAAATCATTTTTCTTCATACAATGCATTACTATTCAGCAAATAAAAATGAATGAACTTGGCGGGGCACGGTGGCTCACACCTGTAACCCCAGCACTTTGGGGAGCCGAGGCAGGTGGATCACTTGAGGTCAGGAGTTCGAGATCAGCCTGGCAAACATGGTGAAACCCCATCTCTACTAAAAATACAAAAATTAGCCAGGCATGGTAGCGGGTGCCTGTAATCTCAGCTACTTGGGAGGCTGGGGCAGGAGAATCGCTTGAACCCGGGAGGCAGAGGTTGCAGTGAGCAGAGATTGCGCCACTGCACTCCAGCCTGGGTGACAGAGCGAGACTCCCTCTCAAAAAAAAAAAAAAAAAATGAACTAGAGTTACATGTATCAACATGGATACATCTCACTAACATAACATTGAGTGAAAAAAATCAAGTTTGCAAGTGGATGCATACAGTGTGATACTGTTTCTGCAAAGTCATGCAAAACAATAACACATTTTTATTATATAACGAAGCGATAGCATAAAATATGCATGGGAATGATAAATAGCAAAGTCAAGATGATAGTTAGCTCTGCAAAGAGGAAGAGAAAGAGGATTGGGAGGGACACCCAGAGAATATTAACAATACCCATACAGGTTTGTTTCTTTTAAACAAAATCAATGTTTGATAAAGCTGGCACAGACATATTTGCAATATTAGCTGCACTTTTCAGTACAGGTGAAATATTTCCCAATACTAAAGAACGAAGTGAAGTTTTATGTAGTGGGGCTGTAGGAGTTTGTGCAGAGAATGAAAATGTGCGGTACAGATGAAACCAGAGCCCCCTCAGCCACCGCCTGTTCCACCCACTTTGGGATGGAACATGATGGATGAGTTCACAGCCCTGTCTCCGTGGTCCTCACCATGCAGACTCATCTCAGGAGGTGCTGGTGGGCAGTAAGATGCTGCTGGATGCAAACGTTGTCCTTATCCTAGGGGCTGCACAGTTGGTATCTGTGCCAGAGGGGCGCAACCGAGGCTCATCCTTTGGTAATGGTCTCCTGTTCTGGGCCTTGAGGTCTTCAGTCAGGGGAGGCTCCTGTTTTACCATCTACCCTCTTATTTAGAAAGTGTGCCTCCGAGCCTCAACTGCCTTTTAGTTTATCGGGTGACAGGCTGGAAGACTTAAAAAAATGAGAGTGCTTTGATGACTCTGGCATTCCTTGGGCATTGAGAAGCTGGTTATCAGTGTTGCCATGACGACTGCGGGGCCCATAAATAAAACGGTGGAGGCGAAAGGTCATGTTGGACACTAACAATAGTGTAAAGCCTCTTAGATGCCTGGACTATGTACTTGAGACACATTGGATGGTTGTTTTGAAAGGTAATTTTTCTTTTTGCTCCCAAATGACCTCCTATTAATTTTGTTCTTTTTTCAGTCTATTGCATTGGAATGTTGCTTAGCAAACAATTATACCTGGTACTACTCTTCAAGGAGCATGTCTATTAATTGTGTGGAGTGCAATCAGAGATAATACTGTCTCCCAAGCTAGTACAGGCTTTTAAACAAACATGATTTTCTTACCTCTACACAGTGCTGTGATATGCTAACATTAGCGTGGTTTGCAAGACTCAAAAGAGTCAGAAGGATTAAACTTGGAATAATTTAAGGTGCAGAATAATCTCCCAGAAAGCTGAAAGTGAGGGAAGGAACTGTGAGGTTCCAGATGTCGTTTATTAAGAGGAGTATGGTCTACAGGTGGTTTCCTAGGTCCAGCTCCTTGCCACTCAAAGTATGGTCCGTGGACTAGCAGCAGTCTCAGAGAGATTCTTCAACATCCGGAACCTCAGGCCCCACCCAGACCTATTGGATGAAGTGCTGCAGCTTAATAAGATCCCAGGTGACTTTTATGCACATTGAAGTCTGGGAAACAGAGTCTTACAACGTGAGTCAATGGCCTTCCAAAAGGGTGCTGGCACTGTAAGAAATAAAACCTGAGAGATCAGATACTCCTGGGAGAGTTAGGGAGGAAAAGCTTTGCTAAAAGCTGCTGGAAGTAGTGGGTGTCTATTTGTGGATCATATTTTGTACTGAATTGTTATGTTTCCCCTACTTACTGAAAACATGAGCTGAATTCCAGAAAGTAACAGGAAGAAGGATGAGGATGGAAGAGTTAAAAAATAACACAGAAGTCCTGAGTTCTTGCAGGAGCATCCCCTTGCAAGATACTCATCATGACCTTGGGCCCCATTGCGCCACAGTTTTCTCCACTTTGACAAGCCCAGATCACTTCCTAGGGCCTGCAGGATTCCTACATTAGTGCTTCTCAAGGGCTCCGAAAGCCTGGGATGAACGTCATGGCGCATGCGTGAAGCTTATCAGGGTCGCGCTATGAGTTCCAGGCTGGCTCCTAATTCCGCAGCCTCCTCGCAGCTGGGGAGCAGTGTGCCCACTTTTATCTCAGCTCCTGGCTTCTACAGAGGACGAGATGGGGAGGGCGTAGGGCGAGGAAGGAGGAGATAAAGCGGTTTGGTGCATGGATGAGTCAGAGCCCGGGCACTCCCACCCATGGCTGAAAAGAGCATGAGTTTCCCACGTCCCTGTTCTGCTGTGAGAGGGGACCGCGTATCCACGTCCCCCAGCTGCACTGTGGGAGGGTTAATTGCAGAAAGACATTATTAAACAGCAGATTGGCTGTCACACGTGTCAACACGTAGCGATGGAGGTGAGTAAATGACTATGACTCAAAGTAATTTTTAGAAACAAGCACAAAATAAAATGTCTGTGAATGGGACTATTACAGAATCTCCTTGAGGAAGTGGTTGCAAATGTGCAGCTCCCAGAGCAAAACCTATCACAGGCTCACTATAACCTCAAACTCCTGTGCTCAAGTGATCTTCCCACCTCAGCCTCCAGAGTAGCTGGGACCACAGGTGCATGCCACCATGCCCAGCTAATTTTTTCTTTTTTCTTTTTTTTTTTTTTTTTTTGAGACGAAATCTCACTCTTGTCCCCCAGGCTGGAGTGCAGTGGTGCGATCTCGGCTCACTGCAACCTCTGCCTCCCGGGTTCAAGCGATTCCCCTGCCTCAGCCTCCCGAGTAGCTGGGATTACAGGTGGGTACTACCACACCTGGCTAATTGTATTTTAAGTAGAGACGGGGTTTCACCATGTTGGCCAGGCTGGTCTCGAACTCCTGACCTCAGGTAATCAGCCCGCCTCGGCCTCCCAAAGTGCTAGGGTTACAGGCGTGAGCCACCGCGCCAAGCTAATTTTTTAAATATTTTGTAGAGACAAGGTCTTGCTGTGTTGCCCAGGCTGGTCTGTAACTCCTGGGCTCAAGTAATCCTCCTGCCTTCTCCTCCCAAAGTGCTGGGATTACAGGCATGAGCCACCACTCCTGGTATCCTGCCTCTTTTTGATTTTTTTTTTTTTTTTTTTGCATTCTAAAAATAGCATCTTTTCTAAGATTATAGAATTAGTATTCTACATCACAAATATTTAAAATATGAAAAGTTATGAAGAAAATCAAATCACTCCTAATCCCTCCACCAAGAGGTAATCACTGTTAACACTCGTAGTTTATTTCCCTTTAGTATTCTTAGTCGAATCACTTTTTTCTCCAAAAACTATATAGCAAATAAACCAAAAGCAGTTTTCCCATTTGTAATCCATATCCATCTGGCATAAGGCCATGTAAGCTTGGTTTGGAGCTTGTCCCAATAGCCCTGCCAGCCCGAGTTTCCCATCCCTGCCTTGTGGTCTATTTCTCCATCCACCCTGACCCAAATGCCACTCTCACAGAACTCTAGATTTGAGTTTGCCTTCATTTCTGTTTGACCCCTCAGATCTTGGGAATGTAAATTGTAAAGGCAAAACTTCATGAGACTTTTTTTTTCTCTGAACCCGATATATCAAAAAACAAGTGAGACTTTGTTAAAATCTACATTCCTTACTGTTTCTGATGCTTTGGAAATTAATCCAGGTTTACTCTGCCTTTTTTTTGAGATGGAGTTTCACTCTTGTTGCCCAGGCTGGAGTGCAATGGCATGATCTTGGCTCACCGTGACCTCCACCTCCTGGGTTCAAGTGGTTCTCCTGCCTCAGCCTCCTGAGTAGCTGGGATTACAGGCATGCACCACCATGCCCAGCTAATTTTGTATTTTTAGCAGAGACAGGGTTTCTCCATGCGGATCAGACTGGTCTTGAACTCCCGACCTCAGGTGATCCGCCTGCCTCGGCTTCCCAAAGTTGCTGGGATTACAGGTGTGAGCCACCGCGCCTGGCCTACTCTGCCTTTTTCAATGCAGGTATTTCAAAGGATATGAGAAACTCAAGGGAAGGCATCTATATTTGTAACTCCAGTACATGGCCCATAGTAAGTTCTCAATAATTCATGTTCACTGGTCACTTAAATAACACAGAACTATTGCTTCCTGTCTGGGTGAATATAATCAATGGTTAAGATTAATAAGGGCAACAGTAATGAATGCGCTCGGTGGTTCAGGATCCTTTACTAGCCAGAATCACTGGTCTTTAACCCCTACACATTTCTGTTCCCCTAGTTGGGTCTCACCTTTTTAACTGCTAGCATTCTCCTCCTGCAGCCATGGACTCAATCTGTCTTTCCAGCGACCCACCCCTGGCTGGCTTGGATGCTGCTCTACCATCAAGGATGGCATTTGCCTCCTCACTTCACTGACTTGAAGTCTTCCCCACGGTTCCTCCACCTACTGCGGGCTGCCCACTCCCACCCTCATCTCTCTACTGAAACAATTCTTGCCAAACTCTGGCCACTTCTCAATCCTTATCTCGCCTAAGCTCTCCAAGGCATTTGACACACTTGACCTTGCCCTCTTCTTTGGAGATCTTTAGAGAGCATGACTTCTTGCTCTGAGTCTTCCATGTACCTCTAACTGCCCCTTCCCAGCCTCTTTTGCAGAGTCCTCTTCCTCTGCCTCAACCTTAAATGTTGAAATCCCCTGAGTTTCCATCCATCATTTGCTTCACAAGGGGAACCAGTTCTGGGTTCTTGTTCTTTTGCAAAATATACATATAACATAAAATTTACCATCTTAACCATTTTTAAGTGTATAGTCCGGTAATGTAAAGTACATGTACCTTGTTGTGCAACCGTCACCACCATCCATCTCCAGAACTACTTCATCTTCCCAAACTGAAACCACATTCCCCTCCCCATAGCCCTTGGTAACCACCATTTTACTTTCTGTTTCTGTGAATTTGCCTACTCTGGGTACCTCCCATAAGTGGAATCCTATGGTACTTTGCAGTTGGCTTGTTTCACTCATCATATATCCTCAAGGTTCATACATGTTATAATGTGTCAGAATTACCTTCCTTTGTAAGGCCAATGACTTTATATTCCATGATACATATGTACCACACTTTGTTTATCCATTTATCTGTTGGTAGACCCTTGGGTTGCTTCCACATTTTAGCTACCAGGAATAATGCTGCATGAACATGGTGTATAGCAAGTGTGTTCCAGTCCCTGCTTTCGATTATGTGGGGTTTATATCCAGAAATGAAGTTGCTAAATCAAAAGGTAATTTTTTTTTTAAGATAGGGTCTCACACTTTCATACACAGGCTTGAGTATGCCATGGCATGATCCTGGCTCCTTGCAGCCTTGACCTGTGTTCAAGTGATCCTTCCATCTCAGCCTCCCAAGTGGCTACAGGTGCATGCCACCATACCCAGCTATTTTTTTTTTTTTAGGAATAGGATCTTGCTATGTTGTCCAGGCTGATCTTGAACTCCTGGCCTCAAGTGATCCTCCTCCCTTGACCTCCAAGTGGCAGGGTTACAGGTATGAGCCACCATGCCTGGCCTGATAATTTTTTTTTTTTTTGAAACGGAGTCTTGCTATGTTGCCAGGTTGGAGTGCAGTAGTGTGATCTCAGCTCACTGCAACCTCCACCTCCTGGGTACAAGTGATTCTCCTGGCTCAGCTTCCCAAGTAGCTGGGACTACAGGCGTGCACCACCACGCCTGGCTAATTTTTTGTATTTTAGTAGAAATGGGGTTTCACCATATTGGCCAGGATGGTCTTGATCTCCTGACCTCGTGCTAATTCTATCTTTAATTTTTTGAGGAATCACTATACTGTTTTAGTTCCAATTTTTTCATATCCTCACCAACACTTGTTATTTTCTGTTTGCTTTGTTTTGGATTTTGCTAGTAGCCATCCTAATGAATGTTATTGAGAAGTATCTGGGTTTTTTTTTTTTTTTTTCCAGACAGAGTCTTGCTCTGTTGCCCAGGCTAAGGTGCAGTGGCACAATCTTGACTGAGTGCAACCTCTGCCTCCAGGGTTCAAGCAATTCTCATGCCTCAGCCTCTTGAGTAGCTGGGCCCACAGTTGCGTTCCACCACAGCCAGCTTATTTTTATATTTTTGGTAGAGATAGGGTTTTGCCATGTTACCCGGGCTGGTCTCAAACTCCTGGCCTCAAGTGATCCACCCGTCCCAGCCTCCCAAAGTCCTGGGATTATAAGTGTGAGCCACCGCACCTGGCCATGTCTGGGTTCTTTTAAATACCAGTGTTTAAAAATAGAATTATTCTATGAAAAACAATCTAGTCTCAAAATTTTGACTGCTAGAATAAACAATATAGTAAAATGTGTATAATTTCCTAGTTATACTTTAAAGGTAGGATGAAGCTTAAGGTGCAGAAAGTGAAGTTAATTATTATTCTTCATTCATGGTTAGCCTCATCTTGAGTCTAGCAGGGCGCCACCCCTCCTCCCTGTTCCCAGTGCCTGTCCCACTCTCTCTCACCACAGACACTCAAAGTCACTGTTCTGTTACTCTTCTCACTCAAGCCACTGTGCTGGGATTGAAAGACTTTGCTCTTCATGGCTTACAGGAAAGTTAAGGTAGTATTTTTTGCTCTAGAAGCCATGTGAAAATGGGACTGCGTTGGAATAAGCATCTATAGGAGCTGATACCTGCCCTGGCAGTATCTGGTAACCAAGAATTTCCAGAATTGCAATGGGGGAGTGTGGTGGGAGGAACAACCCCAGTTCAAAAGAGGAAAAGCAATCAAAAGGCCACGTGCCGTGGCTCACGCCTGTAATCCCAGCACTTTGGGAGACCAAGGCGGCTGGATCACCTGAGATCAGGAAGGGAGACCAGCCTGGCCAACATAGTGAAAGCCTGTCTCTACTAAAAATACAAAAATTAGTCGGGTATGGTGGCATGTGCCTGTAATCCCAGCTATTCAGGAGGCTGAGACAGGAGAATCGCTTGAACCTGGGAGGTGGAGGTTGCAGTGAGCCAAGATCATGCCACTGCATTCCAGCGTGGGCGACAGAGGGAGACTCTGTCTCAAAAAAAAAAAAAAAAAAAAAAAAAAAACCAAAGGAGGGGCAAAATAAAATGGTAGAAATGAATACGGATATGTCCATAAATGGACTAAATTCACCAGTAAAATAAACAACGATTATTAGTAAGAGATAACCAGATAATGCTGCAATTCCTGCGTGCCTGAAGGCCTGAGAAACTTTCACAGTAGGGTTAGGGGAAGTGAGAGAGACTGAAGGTGTTGTGAGGGCTACCCAGCTCTCCACTTTTTCGAATGTGAAAAGAAATAAAGCAAAAGAAAATGTAAAAAAAAAAAAGAAGAAGAAGAAGAAAGACTTTGCCCCTGAACTCTCAAGAGCAATGGAACTGAATCTCAGGGAGGGCATCCACAGGCTGATGAGTGCTATGACTAAAGGCCCATTGAAGGCATGTGGGGCAATAGGAGCCATAGAGAGGGACCTACTTCTGTTCACCAGGGAACTGAGAGCTCAAAGGTGGCTCCTAGCGAGAAGTGACTCCTAAGCTGAGTCCTGAAGATCGATGTGAGTGGGCCAGGCAGAGGAGAAAGGGAGGAGGAGCGTGTGCAAAGGCCCACTGCCGAGAGAGCCAATTTGTGGGAAGAACCAAGAATCACTCAGTAGCGCTGGAGTTGAGTGTTGGTGTGGGGTGGGAGGGTAAGAGAAGAGGTGGACAGGAGCTCATTCATGGAGGGCCTTGAACCTGTGCCAAGTCTGTAATTTATCTTGTTAGAAATGCACAGACATTGGTTTTAAACCAGGGCATGTCATGATTACATTTTTTTTTTTTCAGAATGATCATTCTAACCCAAATATGGAAAATAAATTGGACAGGGGAATGGGGAGGTCTTTTAGGAATCTGTTTTATCCTGGCAAGAGACAAAAAGGGCATTGGCAAAAGGGAGAACATTCGTTTGCTCATTCCTTTATTCATTCACTTATTTGACATTTACTTTATGTTTTCCCCTGAGCATCTTTTATGTGCCAGCATTGTGCTGTGCTGGGTGCTGGGAATACAAAGGCAAAAAAGAGAAACAAGGTCCCTGCCTTCCTAGGGCAGACACTTACTTGGCAGTTCTGGTTTTCTTAGTCTGTTCTGTGCCAATATAACAAAATACCACAGACTGGGTAATTTATACGGAACAGAAATTTCTTTCCTCAGAGTTCTGGAGGTTTGGAAGTCCAAGATTGAGGGGCTGGCATCTTTCAATTCTTCTTCTTTTTTTAAAAAAAATCTATCTCTTGGGCCAGGCATGGTGGCTTATGCCTGTAATCCTAGCACTTTGGGAGGCCGAGGCGGGTGGATCACCTGAGGTCAGGAGTTCGATACCAGCCTGGCCAACATGGCGAAACCCTATCTGTACTAAAAAAAAAAAAAAAAAAAAATACAAAAATTAGCCAGGCGTGGTGGCACATGCTTCTAATCCCAGCTACTCAGGAGGCTGAGGCAGAAAAATCGCTTGAATCCAGGAGGTGGAAGTTGCAGTGAGCTGAGATCATGCCACTGCACTCCAGCCTGCGCAACAGAGGGAGACTCCATCTCAAAAAAAAAAATCTATCAATCGCTCTGTCTGTCTGTCTATCTATCTATCTATCTATCTATCTATCTGCTTATTTAGAGACTGAGTTATGAGACTGGCTAATTTTTGTATTTTTGGCAGAGATGAAGTTTCACCATGTTACTAAAGCTGGTCTTAAACTCCTGGGCTCAAGTGATCCATCCCCCTCCACCTCCCAAAGTGCTGGGATACAGGCATGAACCAACGCGCCCGACCAGGGATCTCCTTGCTTTGTCATCCCATAGTGAACAGTGGCAGGGCAAAGAGAAAGAGAGAAAGAGAACAGGAATAAGTGAACCCACTCTCTCAATAATGGCATTAATCCATTCATGAGAGCAGATCCCTCGTAACATAGACAAGGTCTCACTCTGTTGTCCAGGCTGCAGTTCAGTAATACAAATATAGCTCAGTGCAGCCTCAGCCTTCTGGGGTCAAGTGACCCTCCTATCTCAGCCTCCTGAGTAGCAGGGACCACAGGTGCATGCCGCCACACCTGTCTAATTTTTTTTATTTTTTGTAGAGATGGGGTCTCCCTGTGTTACCCAGGCCGGTCTGTAACTCCTGGGCTAAAGTGATCTTCCTGCTTTGGCCTCCCAAAGTGCTGGGATTAGATTACAGGTGTGAGCCACCTCATCTAAACATCTCTTAAAGGTTTCACCTCTTAATATTGTTGTAATTGCAATTAAATTTCAACGTAAGGTTTGGTGGGGACAAACATTAAAACCAGAGCACCGGGCCAAGTGTGAAGGCAATGACAGTATGTATGAGCTAACATGATACAGAGTATTTTGGGAGCATATATACCAGGAGCATATTCCAAGAGATTTGGAGCATCAGAAAGACTTTCTTAAAAACTTCCCTAAAATGATGTCTCAGCTAAGACCTGAAGGAGGAGCAGGAGACGGCCAGGTGAAGGAGAGATATTGGGGGTTCCAGGTGGTTGGAATAGTAGAGGCAGCTTTCCAGAGAAGAGAGACATCAGAGCCTCTGAGTGAATGTAAAGAAGTTCAGTACGACTGGACCACAGGGACTATTAAGGTGTGAGGCTAATGAGGGAAGCAGGGACCTGATCCCAAAAGGCCTCTAAATCACATGAAGGAGACTGGACCTTATAAGAGGCATGGCATCATATAAGAGAAAGGATCAGATGGACATCCTGAGAAGATCACAGTCTGGATAAATAGTAACAAGACAGACTAGAAAGGACTTGGTGAACCATTAGCTAGATTTGGGGTTACAGAAGGGCATGAAGACTCGCAGGTGTCTGACTTGGATACCATAAAACAAGAGGAAGAGAGGTTGGGAAGGAAGATCTAAATTTTATTTTGGACCTGTTGCTTTTGAGGGACATTCAAGTGGAGCTATTCAGTAGGTGCTTGCATATACATTCCACGTGGAGATGGAATAGAGTTATTGGCATGTAGGACCTACACAGTGCAGAAATCATAGGAGTGGATGAGACCAGGTAGGCAAGTCTGCAGGGTGAGAAGAGAGCTGTGGATGGAAACTCAGGGGATTCCAACATTTAAGGTTCAGGCAGAGGAAGAGGGCTCTGCAAAAGAGGCTGGGAAGGGGCAGTTAGAGGTACGAGGAAGACTCAGAGCAAGAAGTCATGCACTCTAAAGATCTCCAAAGAATAGGACAAGGTCAAGTGTGTCAAATGCCTTGGAGAGCTTAGGCGAGATAAGGATTGAGAAGTGGCCATAGAGTTTGGCAAGAATTGTTTCAGTAGAGAGATGAGGGTGGGAGTGGGCAGCCTGCAGTAGGTGGAGGAGCCGTGGGAGGTGGGGAAGACTTCAAAGTCAGTGAAGTGAGGAGGCAAATACCATGCTTGATGGTAGAGCAGTGTCCAAGCCAGCCAGGGGTGGGTCGCTGGAAAGACAGACTGAGTCCGTGGCTGCAGGAGGAGAATGCTAGTAGTTAAAAAGTTGAGACCCAACTAGGGGAACAGAAATGTTTAGGGGTTAAAGACCAGTGATTCTGGCTAGTAAAGGATCCTGAACCACCAAGCGCATTCATTACTGTTGCCCTTATTAATCTTAAGCATTGATTATATTCACCCAGACAGGAAGCAAGAGTTCTGTAAGTTCTGTTTAAGTGACCAGTGAACATGAATTATTGAGCACTTGCCATGGGCCATGTACTGGAGTTACAAATATAAATAGGTGCCTGCTCTTGAGTATCTCATATCCTTTGAAATACCTGCATTGAAAAAGGCAGAGTAAAACTGGATTGATTTCCAAAGCATCAAAAACAGTAAGAAATGTAGATTTTAATAAAATCTCACTTGTTTTTTTTGTTATATTGGGTTCAGAGAAAAACGAATCTCATGAAGTTTTGCCTTTACAATTCACATTCCCAAGGTCTGAGGGGTCAAACAGAAATGAAGGCAAACTCAAATCTAGAGTTCTGTGAGAGTGGCATTTGGGTCAGGGTGGATGGAGAAATAGACCACAAGGCAGGGATAGGAAAACTCGGGCTGGTAGGGCTGTTGGGACAAGCTCGAGACCAAGTTTACATGGCTTTATGCTAGATAGATATGGATTACAAATGGGAAAACTGCTTTTGGTTTATTTGTTGTATACCTTTTGGAGAAAAAAAGTGATTCTACATAAAAATACCAAAGGGGCCGGGCATAGTGGCTCACGCCTGTAATCCCAGCACTTTGGGAGGCTGAAGCGGGCAGATAACGAAGTCAAGAGATCGAGACCATTCTGGCCAACATGGTGAAAGCCAGTCTCTACTTAAAATACAAAAATTAGCTGGGCATGGTGGCGCACGGCTGTAGTCCCAGCTACTCTGGTTGCTGAGGGAGGAGAATCACTTGAACCCAGGAGGCAGAGGTTGTAGTGCGCCGAGGTCACGCCACTGCACCATCAGCCTGGTGACAGAGCAAGACTCTGTCTCAAAAAAAAAAAAAAAAAAATACTAGAGGGAAATAAACTACAAGTGTTAACAGTGATTACCTTTTGGTGGAGGGATTAGGAGTGATTTGATTTTCTTCATAACTTTTCATATTTTAAATATTTGTGATGAATAATACTAATTCTATAATCTGAGAAAAGATGCTATTTTTAGAATGCAAAAAAAAAAAATATATATCGAAAAGAGGCAGGATGCCGGGAGTGGTGGCTCATGCCTGTAATCCCAGCACTTTGGGAGGACAAGGCAGGAGGAGTGCCTCGGCCCAGGAGTTACAGACCAGCCTGGACAACACAGCAAGACCTTGTCTCTACGAAATACAAAAAAATTAGCTGGGCATGGTGGCGTGCACCTGTGGTCCCAGCTACTCCGGAGGCTGAGGTGGGAAGATCACTTGAGCCCAGGAGTTTGAGGTTATAGAGAGCTGTGTTTGAGCCACGGCACTCCAGTCTGGGCAACAGACGACTGAAAAAGAGAGAGAGACAGAAAGAGGGGCAGGTTTGTGTTCCAGTGCAGTGACCAAAATGACCAAAATGAAAACAAACAAACAAAAAAAGATACTGGGTGATAACATCGCTTCATCAAAAACAAAAAATGTAGAAGATTATACTGGTAGGAGCAATATTCAGAAATAACACTGAAGACCTAAAAATCACATGCCATGCTTAACCTTGTCACAAACTAGGGGTGGTCCTAGGCATTTTCTTTAATGTATTTATTAATATATAAAATCTAGTAATAATCAATCTGAAAGAAATGGTGTGATTGTGAGTCAGCCCTGCACACATTGCCCCTAGAAGAGGAAAATGACTTGCCCAGGTTTGTACAGTTATTATCTGCATTTTTCTGATCATGTGATATTAATTTTCTCTTGAAACTTGAAATTATGAGGTAGAAAGTGCACTGTGAGAACAAATGTTGAGTTATGGCTGCCGGAGCTCCAAAAAATTGAGTTATAATTCTTTTTTTTTGAGACAAAGTTTCACTCTTTTTGCCCAGGCTGGCTGAAGTGCAATGACATGACCTCGGCTCACTGGAACCTCCGCCTCCCGGGTTCAAGTGATTCTCCTGCCTCAGCCTCCCAAGTTGCTGGGACTATAGGCGCCCACCACTATGCCCAGCTAATTTTGTATTTTTAATAGAGACAGTGTTTCACCATGTTGGCCAGGCTGGTCTCGAACTCCCGACCTCAGGTGATTCGCCGGCCTTGGCCTCCCAAAGTGCTGGGATTACAGGCCTGAGCCACCGCACCTGGCTGAGTTATAATTCTTAATTGTGACATTTTTATTGATGAAAAGAAAATGATTTGATGCCTCTGATAAGAGACTGATATATTCTAAAATAAAGGCTCATTACTAACTGAAATAGAGTTTTTAAAGTTTAATTTGGTAGGAGGGAAGTAATCTCTTAAAAGATATGGCTGGCTATTCTTAAATTCAATTTTAATGAGTATTTGTGGGTAACGAGATAGATGGAAATGTGTTTTGGGAATGTATTCTCATTTTCAATACGATTCCCTTTTATTGATCTCATGGGAAGAGGGCCTGCTTTCCCTTGTATGAAATTTCTAGACAAAAGAGACCGGGTGCTGTGGCTCACACCTGTAATCCCAGCACTTTGGGAGGCCAAGACAGGTGGATCACCAGGTCAGGAGATCGAGACCATCCTGGCTAACACTGTGAAACTCCGTCTCTTATACAAAAAAATTAGCCGGGCGTGGTGGCGGGCGCCTGTAGTCCCAGCTACTCGGGAGGCTGAGGCAGGAGAATGGCGTGAACCCGGGAGGCGGAGCCTGCAGTGAGCTGAGATCGCGCCGCTGCACTCCAGCCTGGCAAGAGAGCTAGACTCTGTATCAAAAAAAAAAAAAAAAAAAAAAGAATAAAGTGTCCGTCCTGCAAGTTGCTGCCAGTGCAGGCAGGTCAGGGAGTCTGCTGCCGCTGGTAGGGAAGACAAGCTTGCAGCTTTCCACACCCATTCCTGAATTGCGAGAAGGGAAACTTACCCAGAAGCTGGAAGGAATCCAGAAAACATGAGCAAACCCACAGCTTCTCCGTTGATAGAAAGGCGTGTCCACTCATTTCTTACGTCTACTGAAGCCTTGAGAAGATTAATTGAGGGTTTGCCTGCCTCGGAGGCATTTCACCTGGGCAGGCTGTGTCCTGATCAGCAATGTTCTAGGCTGTCAGGACAGACACACACTTAGGCACTACGTGTGTGAAATCTCAAAACCGCAGCTGCTGACCTAGGATTTTGTAGACACTCTCCGCTCTTTAGGGCCAGAGAGCCCCAGCAGTGAAAAGCCCAAGGAAGGTCTTGTTTTCCTTGTCATGTCTTTCAAATAAATTAGGGAGAATGAGCACAGCTAAATTTGAGAAATTATTGGCACAGCCGTCAATTAAATCCTTCAGATAGAAAACACATTTTTCTTTTCTTTTCTTTTCTTTTTTTTTTTGCTGTGTTTATTTTCCAAACAATTTTATTGAAATGTGCCAAGAGTACATGGGCAGCACAAATGTATGAACAGGAAAAAAAAAAATCACATGTACAATAATTTTTTTTTTTTTTTTTTTTGAGATGGAGTCTCGCTCTTGTTACTCAGGCTGGGATGCAGTGGCACGATCTTGGCTCACTGCAACCTCCGTCTCCCGGGTTCAAGCGATTCTCCTGCCTCAGCCTTCTGAGTAGCTGGGACTATAGGCGCCCGCCACCACACGCGGCTAATTTTTTGTATTTTTAGTAGAGACGGGGTTTCACCGTGTTAGCTAGGATGGTCTCCATCTCCTGACCTTGTGATCCGCCCACCTCGGCCTCCCAAAGTGCTGGGATTACAGGCGTGAGCCACCGCGCCCGGCCCACAATAATTTTTTAAAAGTGAAGAAGTGAAGGTTAATCTTGGGACAGATCAGGTCCCCTCTCGCTCCCCCTGCAGACTTCCAGCGTTTCCATTAAGGTTAAGCCTCTACAAACCTAGCTTTCAAAAAAAAAACAAAAACAAAAAAAACAAAAAAAAAAAAAAAACGAAAAATGGCATAAAGGGAAGAGAAATGACTTCCTGCTCTGATGGGACTCTTCCTAGCCACCTAATTAGGAGGCATGCTGAGCGGTGGAGAAACACAGCTTCAGAGTGTAAGGTATGGACCACTTGGGTTTTTCATCTGGTAATGGTTCAGGAAGCCCCGAGCCTCCAGGGCATCGCTCTTGGATTCCCACTCCAGCAGTCCAGAAGAGCTGCGCTCACTTTTGCCTGAGAATACTTTCACAGAAGATGGCCGCTTCACGCCCAGCTCATCTCAGATCTCAAAGAAGTTGTCAGTCACCTCCAGCGGGGCGTTGAAGAGGTGCAGCACGTTGCTGGGGTGCTGGATGCGGTTCTTCCCTGCCCGCTCCAGCGAGGGGAACCGATTGTTCGGGATTCACTGAAGTCTCTGTAACTGCAAGACGTGACTTCCAACCCGCATGACTGACAGGGCATGATGGCTGGCTGCTTGGAGACAGACATTCAGCTTCTGCCCAAACATGAAGTTGTTGCTGAGGTGGGTAGTGGCCCGGTCCACAGTGTAGCCGTCAGCCATCTCCACCATGGCGGTCCCCGGCTTGCTTTTCATGACTTTCACCTTCTCCACATTGCTATACAAGCAGAAGACATTGAAGACTTGGTCACAGTTCATCTTAGACTGATCCAAACTGTAGACCATGAGGACAGGGCTGTCGGGGTGAGGGCCATGCTCGGGTGGTGGGGAGGGGGTGGGGGGTGCCCATACTAGGGGCCGTTGCGACTTGGGCCCCAAGGGTGACTCCCCCTCACTGGTGGACCCGTCCTTCTCCCTTCGTAGTGAGGTCGCGGGCTGGGGGGCCATAGCCCTCATCATGGCAATGGGTGTGATACCCACGGTGGGGCCCTCCATATTCTGTGGGGTGATCTCCCAGGAGAGGGGGCTGCCTCTGGCGTTTGTTGGGGTTGCTGCCAGGGTCACCTTGTCCACTGAGATTGGGGTTTGTGTAGTCCCAAGTATCCTGATCATTCTTGAACACATTCAAGCGTGTAGGCTTCGTGTATTTGATCTTCAGAGTGCAACAGCCGGAATAGATTTCAGCCCCATTGAGTGAGGCCTTGGCCCACTGGGCACTTTGAACACAGTCAAATTCCACCATGGCCTGAACTCCATTCTTCCGGAAAATGGCAATTCTCTGGACAGGGCCACAAGGATTACCGATAGTGTAAAGAACATCCGTGGTGATCGAATAGATGGGGTTCAGGATGGTAAAGAGAAGCACACTGTTCACGCTCCGGATCATCCGAGTTCCCGGGGCGGGAGATCTTCTGGCTGGTAGAGTAGTTGACAAAAGCTGGGTGACCGGCAATATGTATTTGGTTGTCGGCTGTGTAGTTCACTGCGTTGCAAGCCTCTAGCACATCTTCAAACTCCACCAGTGCTTGTCTCTTTTTAGACATTACCATCACATAGCTGATGAGTCCAAACTCCTGCAAGGCCTCCACAATGTCAGCTTCCACCACACCATCAATTAGGCCCCTGATGTGGACAACTGGGGAGGCAGAGGTTTTGTGTGGGTCATCACAGTTCTCCTTAGAGATTAGGCTTCCATCAGATGGAATTCCCCACTCTAGAGGACAAGGCCTCTGCCCACCCGTTTCTGCTCCCTCAACCGCCCACGAGGCAGGGCAGGAGACACATTTTTCTTTTATAAAATCTGAGTTGAGAGCCCATCTAAGATTTTTCAGTACCTTTTGGAGTCAATTTAAAAATCCCACTGCAAGCCAGGTGCGGTGGCTTATACCTGTAATCCCAGCACGTTGGGAGGCCAAGGCGGGCAGATCACCTGAGGTCAGGAGTTCAAGACCAGCCTGGCCAACATGGCCTTGGCCAGCCACAGCCAACCCCGTCTCTGCTAAAAATACAAAAAATTAGCCAGGCAAAGTGGCACGCGCTTGTAATCCCAGTTTCTAGGGAGGCTGAGGCGGGAGAATCGCTCGAACCCGGGAAATGGAGGTTGCAGTGAGCTGAGATCGTGCCATTACACTCCAACGTGGGCAACAGAGCGCAACTTCAACTCAAAAAAAAAAAAAATCCCACTGCAGGTATCTATCAGGGTAATGTGGTAGAGTTTCTTCCAAGGGACTCAGAGCTTGACAAATCTGGTCATAGTGAGAAAAACATTGGTAAAGTTGTCCAAAAGAGCAGACAAGGTCATTCAAGGTATTTGATCCACTTTTAGGAGTTAAAGCAAAGAGCTAATTATTCAGGATTAAAAAAAGATTTTTAGCATTACTGTAGATACTCTTTTGTGTAAAGCGTAAGATAAGGACCACACTTTTTATTTTTTTTGGCGTGGCATCTTTCTTGAGTATCGATTGATCTTCAATGGAAGGGCTTATTTTGGGATGTTTTATTCTATTCCACTGGCCCATAACATAAGTCTATGCTTAGGCCAATACAAAATTGTCTTGATTACAGTAGCTTTACTCATATAGTAAGTTTTGAAATCGGGTAGTTTAAGTTCAACTTTATTTTTCAAAATTGTTTGGCTTAAGGTTTTTTTGCATTTCTATATAACTTTTAGGGTCACCTTATCAAATTCTATTTTTAAAGCCTGATGATATTTGATAGGGATGCATAGAATCTATAGATCAATTCAGGAAAAACTGTCCTCTACAATATTGAGTTTTTTGATCAATGTTCATGGTACGTCTCTCCATTTACTCAGCTCTTCAGATAAATATCTCAGTAATGTTTTGTGGTTTTTAGTGTATAGTTATTGCACTTTCTTTGTTAAATTTATTCTCAAGTATTTTATTCTCTTTGATACTATTGTGAATAAAATTTTTTTTAATTTCATCTTACTATATTGAAATACAATTAATTTTCATGTACTGAACTTGAGTCCTGTGACCTTGCTGATCTGGTTGATTAATGCCAGTAATTTTTTTGTAGATTCTTTGGGATTGTCTACATACAGAATCATGTTGTCTTTGAATAAATACACAACCTTTATACCTCCTTCCTAATCTATATATGTTTTATTTGTTTTTCTTGCATTATTTCATTGGCCAGAGCCCCAAGTACAGTAAGTCCTCCCTTAAGACCATTGATAGGTTCTTAGAAACTGTGACTTTAAGCAAAAAGACATTTTGTTCAATCAAAGTATTTTTTTCTTTTTTTTTTTTTTTGGCTGGGATTATAGGTGCATGCCACCATGCCTGGCTATTTTTATTT